>NC_000020.11:1278456-1429971 GCF_000001405.40 Homo sapiens
GAAACCATCACCACAATTAGGATAGTGAACATCTCCATCGTCCCCAAAAGTTTCCTCCCCCTTCATCCTCAGGCAATTACTGATCTGCTTTCTGTCAGTACAGATTACTTCACATTTTCTAGTAGTTTATATAAATGGAATAATATAATATGCACATTTTTGGTTTGGCTTTTTCACTCAGCATAATTATTTTGAGATTGATGTTGTGTATACCAATAGTTTATTCCTTTTTTTTCTTTTTTGTTGAGACAGAGTCTCACTCTGTCACCCAGGCTGGAGTGCAGTGGTGCGATCTTGGCTCACTGCAACCTCCGCCTCCCGGGTTCAAGCAATTCTCCTGCCTCAGCCTCCTGCGTAGCTGAGATTACAGGCATGCGCCACCATGCCCAGCTAATTTTTTCTAGTTTTAGTAGAGACAGGGTTTCACCATCCTGGTCAGGCTGGTCTCGAACTCATATTCCATAGTATGGAGAAAGGATAAATCATCATTTGTTTATACATTCATCTGTTTGTTGATGGACATCTAGTTTTTTCCAGTTTTTTGGCTATTACAAGTAAAGCTGTTATAAATGTATGTGTATAAATCTTTCAATGGACATACACTTTCCTATTTTCTTGGGTAAGTTCCTAGAAGAAGAATGGTTGTATCATTTGGTAAATATATATGTAACTTTTTACTGCCCAAGTGTTTCCAAAGCATCTGTACCATTTGACATTTCTACTCGCGGCATTATGGGAGTTTCAGTTCCTCTACATCCTCATCAGTACATGGTATGGTTAGTCTTTTAAATCTTAGCCACTCTAATAGGTTCGTAATGGTATCTCCTTATGGCTTTAATTGGCATTTTCCTAATAACTAATGATGTCGAGCATCTTTTTGTGTCTATTTGACAGCCACATATCCTCTTTGGTGAGGTATCAGTTCAAGTATTTTGCCCATTAATTTTTAAAAACTGGGCTGTTGGCCTTCTTATTGAGTTGTATGAGAGTACTTTATACATTCTGGATATAAGTTCTTTGTTAAATATATATTTTGCAAATACATTCTCCCAGTGTGTAGGGCTTGCCCCAGAGGGCCTCGTGGAAGTTTCTTGCTCAGTGTGTATGAGTGAGTGAGAGAGACACTGATAGAAAGACTGGTTTCCTGAGAGACTCCGGCTTCTTTTTTTTTTTTTTTTTTTGAGACAGGGTCTGACTCTGTCAGTCTGTCACCAAGCCTGGAGTGCAGTGGCACCATCACAGCTCACTGCAACCTCCACCTCCTGGGCTCAGGTCTTATTTTGCAAACAGGGAGCCTAAGTCCCTTAGATGCCATGAAGGTTTAGTGTCAGAGCCCACAAACAGCTCTGATGTCCAGAGAGGCCTGGCTGGCCCTTGATGCCTTTTATTCCTGTGACCCTGGGTGAGTAAGGTAACTTAGCATCCTTCATCTTGTGAAGATGGGCACAGCTGTGCCTTCCTGTGGGTGAGAGACTGGAGTAGAGCTCTCCAGCCGACCCTCCCAACAGCAAGGGCGAGGAGCGTGTGTCAGTGCCAATGCCATCAAAAGGCCTTTTGGAGGCAGAGATGGAGAGGCGAACTATTCAGTAAGGAAGGTTTGTTGAGCTCCACACTGACCAGATTGGGGCATGGACTGGCCGGAGCGGTGCCCACAGCTTTTCTGCGTTGCTCTGAGCTGTGTGGAGCCTGGACGAGGACCTCGTGACTTCTTCTGCCAGACCTCTTTCTCAGCTCATCAGCATCACACACACATGTGTGTGTGTGCATGCACATATACATGTAGGCTCAGTAACTCCCAAAGGGTGGGAGACTGGTCTACAGGTGGGGATGTGTGTAAACAGCCTGTATCTTACTGGTGCACGATGTGCTCTAGCTGTGAATTCTGTCTCCCTTGAGGCTACACACAAGCATTCAGGCCTGGATTGAACTTGGAAAATAAGTAGGCTGAAGAGGCTTGGGAGAGCTTTCCAGGAAGACAGCACTGCATAGGCAGAAGTCCAGTGAATTTTCAAGATGAATTGCAAAGGAGGTGTGTGGGAAATGAGGCTGACAAGGCAGAGGTCGGGTTGTCACAACTGCTGTATGAGGTGGGATGTGTTATCTCCACTTTATACATGGGCAGACTGAGGGACCCAGAGGTCAAGAGAGGTATGCCTTAGGTCTGAGTCATACTGAGTGGCAGAGCTGAGTGTCCTGGCCCCAAGTACCGTGGTCTCCATACTGTACCAGGCTTTGTCCCAAGAGAGTGAGAGGATGGAGCTCCCTCAGGGGCCCTCTTCCTGGTTCCTGGATTGATGGAATGGGGTTCTCAGAACTGTCAGGTCATCTGTTTGGCTGCCTGACTTCCCTCAGCAGGTGTTTACTAAGCCTCGATTTCGAATCCAGCTCTGTTCCTAGCACCTGGGAAGACTCCAAGCCTCTGAAGGCATGATGCCCATTCCTCTTTTAGCCCTTGCAGGATAGCAGACACCTAGCCAGGTTCCCAAGCCCAGGGTGCTGCTGTTCACAACTCACAGGCCAGAACTGTCTCTGCAACTCTGGGTGGAGTGGGGGGTGTGTTTGTATGTTTTAAGGTGGGTATATTGCCACCCCTGAATAAGGTTCTATTATTGAGGGAGGAGGGATAGAATATTGAGTAGGCAGCGAAGCTAACCCACACAGAGGCCTGGGCGTCATCACAATTCTTCCCTTTCCGTCATTCCCTACAGCCTATCTCTTCTGGGGACCCTCAAGAGTCTACTTCCTAAATTTCTCTTGAAGCCACCTTTACTTCTGTCACCTCCTCACCTCCACTCTCATTTTAACCTCTATAGCCTTCGTTAAAACGTCGTCATCCCTGACCTGTCCTGGTGCTTCTCTTCATCTCTTCCCAGTCCATACTTGGCAGAGCTCGTACAGGGTTATCTTCTGTAATATAAATCTGACCTTGAGCCTTAGGCCTGCCTTGACCTTGAACTGTAAACCTGACTTTGACCTTAAATTTGATCAGAACTTTTTTCTGTAAGCTCAAAAGGCTTTTTTCTGCTGGCTCAGCCCTTCTCTCTACTCTCCCTATGCCCCTACACTGTGTGGTCTAGCAGTACCCAGCCCCCTGTAGCTCTCTTACTCTTCATGACTCTGTAAATGCTAACCCCTATTCCTGCACAGAATGTGGAATGCTCCTCCACAGGCAGCTCCTGGGTACCTGGAGAACAACTATGCACCTGTCCTCCAGAGCTCTGCTCAAGGGCACCAGCTTCTGAGTTCTGCAGAGAAGCCCCTCTCTCTTCTGCCCAACCCCTCAGTGACACGTGCTTCGATTATGGGACTATTGGCAGAGGAGGAAGTGGCACACAATAGACACTTGGTAAATATTGACTGAAACAGCCATGCCAGAGCTGCCACACAGATAGGAAATGCTGTAATTAGAAGGGGGAGTAGCTTTGGGAGGCTTGCTTTCAATCTGGGAGCTAGGCCATTTCTGAGCTTGGCCTCAGTTCCCCGCCTGCATTGCCATGGGGCAGAGGGTGGAGGGTGGAGGGTGGGGGTGAAGATACTTGCCACAGGGCCGGAGAGACATGGAAAAATCATCTTGGATGATTTGTATGTCTGAGCTTGAACACTTTGCCTTTTAAGGCTTTGGCTAAGTGCTGGTGGTTTGATCAAGTAGAAAACCCAGCTAATAGGTATACATTATGGGTAGGAGAAACAATAGGCAACCTAGCCCTTCGGGAAAGCAGTTTGGCAGCACATTCATACTTTTCGACCCTATAAATCCATTATCAGGGAACCAGCCTAAAGAAATAATTCTAAATATAGGAAAATAATTATTCACAAAGATACCTATTGTAACATTATTTTTGATAGAAAGTCTAAATGTTCAACAGAGAGGGAGGCTAAATGAACCATGACAGACCCATCAAATGGAATACTATGCAGCCCATAAAATACTTTTTATAAAGGATATGCCATATGGGCGATTCTTAAACTATGGTACATTTTGAAAATATACAAGTTATATTTTTGCCACGGCTATAACTGTGTAAACATAACAACCCCTTGCCCCCTAAAAATATCTGTGCTTAGAAAAAGGCCTGAGAAGGGGCAGCAATCAAATTAATCAGTGGTTTGAGTAGCAAAACTGGAACTGGAAGGCTTTTAAATGGGTATGTACTACTTTTACAACTATATTTAAAACTTAAAAATTACCCAGTTGGAGCTAAGGGAGCCCATTTTAGTTCAGTACCTTTCTGGTATAAGTTATTCATTTGTCTCTGGGCCTTGGTTTATAACATACGGGAAAGAAATTACTGTTCATCCAGCAGTGTGTGTGCCAGGCTCTTTGCATGCACCACTCAGTTCAGTCTTCACAACTGAAACCCCATTTTACAGATGAAGTTAAAGCTCGTGGTCAGCCCTATGCTAAGAACTAGGTTTCCAGCTTGATTCTGCCCTAGGACAAAGCCCCTGCTCTTTACATCCTATCAGGGGCCCCTAGGATGCCTGCTCTCGGGAAAGGGGAGTGAGAGGGACACCTGAGAGTGCTATGTCCACAGAGCCAGTGTAGGCTGAGCCTTTCCCCTGAGTTTATTTTACAAGGTCGGGGAGATCAGTGTTTGCCAGCAAGTGGGAAGAAGAGAGGCTTTAGCTGCATGCAGCCAGAGATGGTGCTCTCTGCTTTACCTCCCTGGCCCCACCAGCCTTTTCCTGAAAAGGATTTCCCCCTCAGCCCAAGTAGCCCATTCTTCTTACCTGACAGCTGGGAACCAACCAAAAGAACATTGCAAGGCTGCATTCTCAGCCTCCTTGTACATCCCAGTGCCCTGGATTCAGAGCCGTAAGCCTGGGGTTGCAGTCCTGGCCCCACTCCTGATTTACTGGGGGCCTTGGGCAAGTGCCACCCACCCCCACGCTGACCTCAGATCTTCTACCTATAAAATGAGACTCGACCAGAAAAGAGACTCCAAGCTCCAATGCCGTGCCACTAACAAACAACACAGACCAGTTATAAGAGCAAGAGCTCTGTTAAGAACTCTGACAGAAAGGAGCAACTTCTCAGTCTCAGACAATCACTGCCATGCAGGAATGCAGGCACAGAGCTGAAAGATCTTTTAATTTGTTTGAGACAAGCCAGAAAACATGGATTTTAAAAAAATATGAAATCTCTTAGTTTATAAATATCGACTGAATTGGAATACATATACATGCAGGTCTTTAAGCATGATACGGCCGTGGGCTGCCAGTTTGGAATCTCCGTAGTCACCTGTCTCTGAGCACCTTCCTACCCCGAAGGTAGGCACCTTCTGATACCTGGACTCCTGGTCTACAAACACTTGCTAGGGCCAGTGCTGGGCAGAATAGGACCCGGGGCTGTGATAGCAAGAAGGTCAATCTGCTGAGAAGGAGGAGAAGGCCCTAAGTTTGCTTTTCTGGACCCCCAGGCTCGCCTTTGCCCAATACTTAGCCTTCAAAGGCTCTGTCCAGCTACCTTCTAGAAATCCTATCCCAGCTGTGACATGCACCGTGTACCAAGGGCTTGCTGTATATGCTCAGCAGCACAACCTCCCTTCGTTGTCATGGCAGTGATTAACCTCATGTACACACAAGGAAATTGGTCCTGATACTGATGGGCCTGAGGGCACACAGCTCCCAGCTGAGCTCTTGCATATAGTCATTACAGCCCTTAGAGGGGACCCTCTGGTGCTATTTTTTCAAAGATGAATAAAACTCTTCCAGCTCATAACCTAGCAGGAGAGACAAGCTCACTAAATAGAACACTGTGTGTAGAAAGGACTATAATAATATAAACAAAGTACCACAAAGCTTTCTTCCCCCCCTTTTGTTGACTTGCTAAGAGGCCTACACTTACTTGGGTGGTGACATCAACCCAGATCAGTGCACACCCCCTTATTCATTCAGCAAAGATTTATTGAGGGCCTGTGGTGGCCTGACACTAGTCTAGGCATAAGGGACTAAATAAAGCATAAAATGGGCATCCATCCTTACCTCTCTGGAGCTTATATTCTAAAGACATAAAATAAATACATACATAAATATGTTAGCTGTTGCTAAGGACGGTGGAGAAAAACGAAGCATGGGAAGAAAGAGGAGTGCTGTAGGAGGAGGGGTTGTATTTTAAACACAGTGGTCAGAGAAGATTCACTGAGAGGGTGACCTTGGAGCAAAGACCTGAAGCAGGAGAGAGAATACACGGGGCAGAGATCTGGGAGAAGAGCATTCCAGGCAGAAGGAACAGCATGTGCAGAGGCCCTGATGAGGGGATGTGCAAGAAGGCAGGGTGGCTAGAGCAGAGTGAATGAGGGGGAGAGGTGATGAGGTCAAAGAGATAAGCGGGGGTCAGGGGAGGGATGCACAGAACTTTACATCAGCCGAAGAAAAGGCTTTAGCCTCTATTGAAAGGAAGGACCGTTGGAGGGGTTTTGAGTAGAGGAATGACCTGATCCAATTTGTGTTCTAAAAGGATCCCTTTGGCTGCTGGGCAGAGTTTGTAGGAGATAATGAGACCTGCATCATCCAGGAGAGAGATGGTGGCTTGGACCAGGGATGGAGCAGTGAAGATGCCGAAAGGTGTCAGATTCTGTGACTGTGTCGCCTCAGTTTCCTTATCTGTAAAATGCATACACTGTGCAGGGAATAAAAGCTGACAGGCTTTTCTGATAGACGTGAGAGTGTTGGCCTACCCGACTGGAATGATGGGATTGCCATTAACTGAAATGAGGGAAGCTGCAGAAAAACAGATTTTTAAGGCAAAATCAGAAATTCATATTTTGGATGTGTTAATTTTGAGATACTCTGTTAGACCAAAGTGGCGGTGTCCTGAAATCCTGTTGTTTGGTAGACAATGACCGGTTTAGGGTTTTTCTTTCCTTTTCTTTTTTTGCAAGTAGACTTAAGAAAGCATAAAATGAATCTGTAGTCAGGAACCTCTCAGATACAAACGAGTATAGTATTTCAGATTAAGATTTTGGACAGGGAGAAAGATGTAATATACATGAATAACATTGAGAATAAGAATATATTCAGGCGAATAAATAATTACTGCTATTTACGGAGTGCTGTCCCTATGCCAGGTCCTTGCTAGGCATTTCACACGTGTTATTGCTCATTGTGATTATACTCATGCACAACTGTAATTAGCCCCATTTGAGAGATAAGGAGAATGAGGCTTAGAGGAGTAAAGTGGCATTCCCACTGTCATAAAGATGGTGGGTGGTGGAGTTTGGAATTCAGAGTTCCAAATCCAGTCATATTGGATCTAAAATTCAGTTACATTTGATGTTCAAGCCGTGGTTTCTTTCTGTCGGGTTAGTCTGCCTGTCAGCAAAAGGGGAAAACTCGTTCTGAGATAGATAAAGGGTGGCCGGGTGCAGTGGCTCATGCCTGTAATCCCAGCACTTTGGGAGGCCAAGGCAGGTGGATCACAAGGTCAGGAGTTTGAGACCATCCTGGCCAATATGGTGAAACCCCGTCTCTACTAAAAATACAAAAATTAGCCAGGGGTGGTGGCAGGCACCTGTAGTCCCAGCTACTGGCTGAGGCAGGAGAATTGCTTGAACCCTGGAGGCGGAGGTTGCAGTGAGCCGAGATTGCGCCACTGCACTCTAGCCTGAGCGACAGAGCGAGACTCCATCTTAAAAAAAAAAAAAAAAAAAAAAAAGATAAAGGGCCTTTAAAATAGGACATAGTAGTTTGTAGAATCTCCCTTTTAAAACATTTTAGAATGCTTCACTTTGGCTAAATTAAGAGGTAGGGCAGCTTCTCCAGAGAAGGAAAACTTATTAGGAGAGGCATTTATTAATCACCCACCCTCTTCCAGCAAGTGTGAGCCACACTGGGCATTGTTGAGGCCCTGGATCTTATTGAAGGTGAAAGAATTCAGCATGGCATGGGAAGTACCACGGGGAATCAGGTGGACAGGGATCAGCTGCTGAGGACAGCAGGGCAGCTGCAGCTGGAGAGGGAGAAGGGAGCTGGGAGGAGAGATGAAGGAGCTGCTGTGAGATAGGCTCCTGGGCTAAAACAGGCACAGTTGGGTGCGCTGGGCTCCATGTCTCCCTGCTGAGCCCCTGGGAGCTGCAGGAAGATAGATGAACCTTGGCTTCCAACAGGAGCGGCATGCCTGGAACTGTTGGTGGGATTAGAATGAGCTGGCCCTGCTTCTATGGCTCCATTGTGGCCTTTGGCAAGTCTTCACTTTTCTATCTAGAAAATGTGGCAGTTGGGACTCGATTGTCATGAAATGCCAGGAGAGCAAGAGAGAGTGTGTGTGCACAAGTGACAGGGAGAGAATGCAAGTGCAAGAGACAGCGTGAGTGGTTTTATGTGGTTTCTTGTTTTGTATTACCAGGAACGAGGAAGCTCTCTGATCTCAGGCTGGGTGGGGGCTTTGTCTGTGGAAAGGGGCTGTCGTCGCAGGCAGAGCAGATGACATCTCCACATCCCTTTAGTCCTTTGGTCTGTGTGTTCCATGTGTTCTTCAGTCTGACATGAGCAAAGCACAGCACACACAGGGCAACTTTGGGGAGCTCTGAGGGCACCATCTTTCCTTGGGACCCACTTTGCCGACTCCCAGTGGACCATCATCTTGCCCTGCAGCCAACCCCATGCAAAAGTGTTCCTTTTAACATTCCTTTTAGGGAGATCTTTATTTCTCCCAAAGAACCAATTTTCTTCCTGCCCTCCCATAACCATGAGAACAATAAGACTGAGCATACTTTCCCTTTTGGCATCAGTGGCCAGGAAGCTTGGAATTGAATCTCAATGTCATTATTGCCACCATGTATTTGTGGTCAGCATGGATATTCCCTTCTTCCCTGGGCCTCTGTTTCAATGCATATTTTATTGCATGTCATTTATGAGCTGCCTTAAAATGGTCAGGACTTCTCCTGTCATACCCGTAGGCCTTCCTTCCAAGATTTCTTTACTTGAAAAGGTTCCCTTTGTTCTTTTTTTTTTCTTAATTTTTGCCCTGGTGAGGGCAAGGGTTGTGGTACAGAAGCTTCACTGATAGATTCAGGAGTCTAGCCCCAAGCCCAGGCTCTGTCCCTGACTTTCTGGGTAACCTCAGGCAACTAACATGCTTTTTCTGGGTTTCAGTTTCTTTCTCTATAGAATGATAGGTTGTGATGAGGTCTACTCCAGATCCTTTCCATTCTGATTCTGAGAGTGTGTTAGTCCCTGTTGGTACCTGGGGTAAATGCCAGGGGATTAGGCATTTACCTAATCTTACATCCAGGATCCAAAGAATCAAGGCAGAAATCTGGAAAAAATGAGAATTTTTAGGGATGGAAGTCTCACCATTTTCCTCATCCTGTGATGCTTTAGAGTTGGAAGCTTGGGAGAAGGGGGAAGGGAGAGAAGCCGGACTGAGGCTTGACAGCTCTATCAGTCAGGAAGCCCAGGGAAGCATATGCTGTGGCCAAGGTTGCTGAAGGGCCTCCATCTGCCAGGAGCCACTAGCCAGGCAGCCACCAAGCTGGGGCTGGCACCACTGCCCCTCCGTTCCTCACATTTCTCCATGGGTGTCTGCAGAGGGGCAGCCGTGGAGCAGCTGGGATGGTGGAAGCATGGGAACCAGTGTTCCCCCTACTACTCCCTACCCAGACGGGAGGCCTGCCAGACATTGCCCTGGAAAGCCAGCCCAGGTCACTTGGCCTAGCAGAGTTTGCCAGTCATTTCAGAGTCACTCATGCCTGGGCCTGCTGATGTCCGCTGAGGTGATAAAGCAAGAATTATTTCTGAAGAAGGGAAAAAGAGAGATCTCCTTCGACAGGTAATAGTGATAGCAAGAAATGTTCAGTCCTCTAATTTCCCAAGAACTACCCCCATCCCTCCATTCATTACCTTGGTTGGATCCCAAAGAGACAGCAGGGCCAGGAAGGTGGCGCCTTCCTGAGTGAATGCATGAGACAGCTGAGACGAACAGAGGTCAAAGACCCAAGGTCACCAAGATGGACGATGTGATATGGCTCAGAGGAGCTGAGGGTCTCTCAGTGGTGGGCTTGCACAGCAGCTGGGCTGCTGGGTGGGACGCAGCAGTTGTTGGAAGAGGAAAGAGCAGTGCTCCTCATGGAAAGGGCTTCTCCTTTGCCTGCGAGGCTGATTCTTAGAGGAACAGGGAAAGTCACTAGTTAGGGAGAAGGCACATGAGGAATTTCTTTTTCTTTTTTTCTTTTTTTTTTTGAGATGGAGTCTCCACTCTGTCGCCCAGGCTGGAGTGCAATGTCGTGATCTCGGCTGACTACAACCTCTGCCTCCCAGGCTCAAGATATTCTCCTGTCTCAGCATCCCGAGTAACTGAGATTACAGGCACCCACCACCTCGTCCAGCTAATTTTTCTATTTTTAATAGAGACAGGTTTTTGCCATGTTGGCCAGGCTGGTCTTGAAATCCTGACCTCAGGTGATCCGCCCACCTCGGCCTCCCAAAGTGCTGGGATTACAGGTGTGAGCCACCGTGTCTGGCCAAGAATTTCTTTTTAAACGACTCTCTGTAGTATGCTTACCTCTTATGTCTGTGATGCCCTGCTTTTATGGAAGTATGACCAGCCCAAAATGCAGGTATATACCTGCTCATCTCCATTGTGGTATCTTAGAGTCTCATGGAAAAGTAGGTTTTTTCTTTTATGCAGCAGAATGATAAGTGTCCCAGGTCTACTGTATTATGAGACCTTCATGATGCAGTAGAAATGCAGGTGCCCATGACCTGGAAATCCAGGGTCCAGCCCTTGGTGACTCTTGTAACCTCTGAGGCTTCAGGTTTCCCATAGATCAGATGGACTAGTCTCTACCTGGCCTCCCTCTATGGGGAATTTGTGTGAGGATTCAACGAAGTTGTGAATATGCAAGAGCTTTAGGGGCAGCCTCAGCTACCAGTCTCCTCCAGGCTGACCCAAAGTCTAGGGAAGCATCCTGGGCCCAGCTACCTGAAGTCAGGTAGAGGGGGGGCACTGGCTCTTGCTCCCCTTCTGCTGCAACTTGCTGAGCCATTCTGGAAGAGTCTCTACCCCTTTCTGGACCATGCCTGTCTTTTTATTAATGCAACGGTTCATTTAAATACACACACACACACACACACACACACACACACACACACACACACAATGGAGTCAGGGGCATGGTGGCTCACACCTGTAATCCCAGCAACTCAGGAGGTGACGCTGGTGGATGGCTTGAGGCCAGGAGATTGAGACCACCAAGAGCAACATAGTGAGACCCCACCTTTAAAAAAAGTAAAAAATAGATTAGCCAGGTGAGGTGGCTACTGGAAAGGCTGAGGCAGAAGGATCGCATGAGCTCAGGAGTTTGAGGCTGCAGTGAGCTATGATTTTGTCACTGCACTCCAAGCCTAGGTGACAGAGTAAGACCCTGGCTCTAAAAAAAAATTAAATATATATCACATGTATTTTTAAAAATTTGTTTTTTATTGAGATATAATTTACATTCCATAAAATTTATCCTTTTAATAGCCAGATGCAGTGGCTCACACCTGTAATCCCAGCACTTTGGGAGCAGGGAGGCCAAGGTGGGTGGATTGCTTGAGGCCAGGGGTTCAAGACCAACCTGGCCAATATGGAGAAACCCCATCTCTACTAAAATATACAAAAATTAGCCAGGTGTGGTTGTGCGTGCCTGTAATCCCAGCTACTCGATAGGGTGAGTCATGAGAATCACTTGAACCCGGGAGGCGGAGGTTGCAGTGAGCTGAGATCGTGCCACTGCACTCTAGCCTGGGCGACACAGTGAGACTCTGTCTCAAAAAAAAAAAAATTAAGTTTTTAAAATGTACAATTCAGGGATTTTAGGATACTCACAAAATTATATAACCATCACCACTAGCTACTTCTAAAACGTTTTTTATCTTCCCAAAAAAGAAACTCCATTCCCATTACCAGTCATTCCCTGTTCCTTCTTCCCTTCCAGTGTGTTTTCTGTCTGTGTGCATTTGCCTGTGCTGGATATTTCATATAAATGGAATCATGCAATATGCGGCCTTTCGTATCTGGCTTCTTTCATTTAGCATAATGTTGTCAAGGTTCATCTGTGTTGTAGCATGGATCAGTAATACTTCATTCCTTTTATAGCTAAATATTCCATTGCATAGACGCATCACATTTTGTTTATCCATTCTTCTATTGGTGGACATTTGGGTTATTTCCACCTCTTAGCTATTAAGAATAGTGCTACTGTGAAGTACACTTCTTATACAAGTTTTTGTTTGAGCATCTATTTTCCATTCTTTGGGGTATATACCTAGCAGTGGAATTGCTGGTTCTTATGGCAATTCTATGTTTAACTTTTCGAGGAACCACCAAACTGTTTTCCATAGCAGCAGCGTCATTTTACATCCCCACCAGCAATACATGAGAGTTCCAACTTCTCCACATCCTTGACAACGCTTGTTATTGTCCATCTTTTTTATGCTAGCCATCCTAGTGAATGTGAAACAATATCTCATTGTGGAAAATAAGTATTCCATAGATTTTTAACCTGAAAAATCCTTTTTAAAAAGTAGTCTTACTTCACACCTTCCATATGTAAAACACATACGAGAGGAGCCTCTTCAGGTGAAATGGGGGAGGAGGCCCAAGCCACCCCTCCCAGTAGGTGCAGAGGCAAGTCCTCTTGGGTGGTTTGAAGACCTAGGCTTGATGCCCTTCAGCTCTGGAATCTGAGTCTAATCACTGGAGACACATCCTGTGTAGCAGCTGCCTCAGCCCTCAACCTATGCTGGTTGCCTGGGGAAGCTTCTCACAGCATTTGGCCAAGTTGTGGGTCTGCCTTGCCGCTGTGTTGGGGTTGCCACAACAGTGAGAAGAAGTCGGATGGCGCCTCATGTGTGGTCCCAGCTTTGAGGGTGGCTTGTGTGGGAAACAGGAAGCAAGCTGGAGAAATGCCAGCAAGTCCTGGAAGGAAGATCCTAGGTTTTGTTGACAAAGGAGGAGCAGAGGCACATAGTGGCTGATGAGGCCATAGCCAGTGCAGGGTTTACTGAACTCCTCAGCTGTGAATAGCCCTGGTAGTGCTAATCTTCTGAGATCTAGAGTGTGGCTGCTGGAACACTCCCAGGCCTGTCTTCTATTCCCACCTCTCTGCATTAGCATTCTAGGAGCACCAGGCACTCTGCTGTCTGATGGGTGGAATGTTCTGCGTTCTAGTGTTACCTTGGCAAAGAGAGGATCCCTCCCAAGTTCTGCTCTGTTGATTGCAATGCTCTGCTTTCCACAGCTGTCAGTGGTTTGAGTCATCAGACACAGATTGTTCTGTTCCCTCGGATTTTAGGATAGCTTTCTTCTTGTATCAATGGCTAATTCTTTGAAAGAAGATAAATTATAGTACATACAGGGACTTTTGCTTAGCTGGAATATTAGATTAACCCAAGCACCTGGTTTTTCCCCCATGACTGTTGATTGGGGAAAATGCTATCATGTCTCTTTGAAGAATGGAGCTTCCTAATTTTACATATGTGGAAACTGAGACCCGAAAGTCCTAGTAATGAAGGAGAAAGAAGCATCAATTAGAAGCCCATAATTTCATTGACAGCTCTAGAATTAGAGAATGTTAGATCCAGAGCACCTTAGAGACCATCTAATCTGACTCTTTGGTCTATTCAATGTGCTTGTTTAAACCATTGTATTACCAACAGTTGTGTGTTGATTGTGTTTGTTTTTATGAAGTTTCCCAGGGGATGGTGTTCCCTGAGTTTTAGTCTAAGGCATAGCATCCTAAGTGGTCAAGACAGTAAGTGATAGGAGAAGTCACTGGTGGAAAGGCTGTGGGTGGGACCTAAAGAAAGAGTGCAATGTATGCCTGAGGACAGGCAGGGAAGATGCTGCAGATGGGACAAACAGCCCATGTAGAGATGCAGATTTGGGAGTGACTAGCCGAGGTCTCCTGGATGTATCAGAGAGCCAGTTGGAAAGGTTGTAGATGAGAGGGCCTTAAGCACCCACATCAAGAGCTTTGCTCTGATTTTTACCTAATCTGGGACTTCCAAGGAATTTTGAACAGGGTCCAGGCCCTTTTCTCCATTGTTCCTGCCATGACCCTGGCCCAGGCCCTCCTAATTTCTCCCCTGGTTGGTAACCTCCTAACTGGTATCTGGTATCCCTCCCTCTCCACACAGGCTCCTTATCAGGAACTTTCTAAAATGCAAATATGATTGTGCCCCTTTCCTATAAAGCACTTGCATGGCTTCCTGTTGCCCACAGGACAAGATCCTGGCTTAAGTGGCTCTGTGTGGCCTGCCCCCCTCCTTCTGCAGCCTCACTCCCACTGTACTTCTGCCCTCAACAGGCTCCCTAGTTTCTGAGCAGCCAGCTGTCACTCACTGCCTGTGTCCAGACTTCTCCTTCCCTCCCATTTTCTGCTGCCACCTGGTGAACTCTTATTCATCCCTCAAGACCCAGTGCAAATTTCTTGTGTAGAGAAGCGTTCCTGGATCCTCCTGAAGACACTATTATGGCTTGAATGTGTTTCTGTTTTGAAGCTCACTTCATGTTACTTCCAAAATACTGGCTGCCCCCATGTTTTAGTGTTTATTGTGTGATAGGCACTGACCTAAGCCCCATACTCACATTATTTTATGTTATTCTCACAGTAACCATATGAGGTGCATTCATTAGAGCCCCAGTTATTACAGATATGGGCAGTGAGGCTCAGAGAAGTGGGTGACTTGCCCAAGGCATGCAGCTGAAGGGTGCCAGAGCTGGCATTTGAGCCCAGATCAGTTCATATTGACTTCTGCAGTCATTAGTCTCATGCTCCCTGGACCCCCATTGTCGGGGGGGTTAGGAAGTGTTGAGCATTTGAGGGAGCAGTCAAAGGAGTGGATGCAGCAGGGTTGCTATGGTGTGGACAAGATGGGGAAGTGGAGGGAAGTTCAGTGAGGGCAGGGGCTGGGTTTACTCTGGGGTTAAAGTGATGAGAGACTATCAGCCCAGCTTCCCACAGTTAAGGGTTTTCTTTCTACCTTCCTTTCCAAGTGGCAGCCTCTGGCCACCTGGGGAGAGGCCTGCGGGACTCCAGGCTAAGCAGGTGGCATGGTGACAAACACCATGGCAACCTGCCTCCTTGCTAGGGCCTAGAAGGGAGGGAGGACCTGAGAGAGCACAGGATGCACACTGAGTTTTCTGAGTAGGATCCTGAGAGGTGGCTCCCTTTGGGCCTGGGTGGCTTCTGCCCTCCCATGAGGGACCCTGCCTGCAAGGTCCCATCCCAGCAGGGGAAATGCGTCTTCCACCTTTGTCCCTAATGAATACCTGGCTCTGGGTGCCCAGGAGACTGTTAGCTATACGCAGGTACAAGTGCCACCCCCTTCCCTCCCCCAGGCCAGGGAGGAAGGAAGAGGGAACTCAAGAGGAGGCAGGTGTGGGGTAGCCAAGCAAGATAGTGGCAGGGACAGCTGGGACAAGGCCCTCATTGTAGCAAGGCCACACGCAGCTCCAAGACAAACCAGGCATTTTGCCTGCCTCCCAGGACTGGGCCTAGCACTCTGCCTGGACTTTCCTGGCTCCTTAGAACACTCACTCACACTGGCTTGGAAGAGCCCATCCTCAGATCTGAGTCCTGCCTCTGCTGGAAAGTCCTCCTGAAGGCTCAGCCTCCTTTTTGCATCCTCCCAAAAGCCAGAAGGGCAGGGATGATGGTGGGAAAGTTGTTGGTGAAGCCAGGCCGACCTGGGCCAGAAGCCAGAGCATGTCACACCTGCAGCTGTGTGACCTTGGGCCCAAATGCAGTAACAAAGCCGGCCTTGAAGGATTGCTGCTTCAAGTAATGGGCCAAGGCAGACGAGAGCACTCAGCATGGCCACCTTACCACTGAAGGATTCAGGCAATGGCAGGTGATCCTTGGAGCCCTTGCCCATGTGCCCCTCTGCACCCTAAGCTGTTCCTGGTCAAGATCCTCCTGTGCCCAGGAGGCAGTGAGCCATTTATGGCCATCCTCACAAGCATGGAGGAGCACTGATGTCCTCTTACCCCCAAATCGCCCCTCCTCCATGGTTCCTGCTCTAGGGGCCAGCCCTACAGTTCCAGGAGGCCCTGCCTGGGTGACTGGGGCATAATGAGTGGGAAGCATTGCCAAGCTGGGGCAAGAAGCTCAGGTGACAGGTGTGGTGTCGGCAGGTCCTGCAGCCCAGCACCCGACACCTCCAGGCAGACAATGCTGGCTGTGTCCAGACCCTCCAGGGGAACAGGCTGTGTTCTATGTCCCCGCCAGGAAACAGGCCATCTGAGTAGTGCCTTTGTCCACTCAGGAGGCAGCCCCGCCGCTGGCTGGGATGACCAGGCTCCGGGGAGGCCCTGACATGGGAAGGGGGTGGTCCCCGGGCCAGAGACTCTGGGGTTTGAGATCCAGCCCCTCAGCATCTGATGTTGACCTGGTTTCGATATTGGCTCTGCCACACACCTGGGATGTGACTTGGCCAAGTCCCTTCCCTCTCGGTGGCTCGATTCCTCATCTGTAAAAGGGGACTAATCACAGCACTTCCTCATAGGGTTGTTGAGAGGAGTCAATGGCATAATGTACGTAGCGTGGTTGGCACGAGGTCTGGTGTGGCGTGGGGCTCGGTGAATGCTTCCCTCCAGCATGGGGAGAGGTCCAGGCATGACATCCTCAGCCAAGTCTCCTGTAACCCAGGCTGCTGTCCTCAGTCCCTGCTGTTAATGTGGAAGGAGGGGACTGAGGTCTCTGGAGCTGGCACAGGACCAGCACATTGGCTGCAAAGAGCCCAGGTTCCCCACTCTGCCCCAGACTCCGGTAACTTTGGGCTAATACCCAGTATAGCCCTCCTCACGACAGCCAAAATCCAGCCCAGCATGGGGCCTCTCCCCTCCTTAAATCCTGGAAAGGCTGCCCTTGGAACCCAAGCCTCTACCCAGGAAAGAAGCCTAAGGACTCGGGGGCAGGAACCAGGGGCTTGAGTCTACCTGCCCACTTAGCAAGAGGCCCAGTGATGGGTCTCTCTAGGCACGAACGCTTCCTCCTGGGTCCACCCACTGGGACACCCCCAGCGGAGGGCCTCTGCTCCCACCCACCCCAGTGCTCATCTGCTTTAAGTCTGTGCCCCTACATTCCTGGTAGATGCCAAAACCAGCATGCGCATTACATGGGTGGGTGCGGACATGCCTGTGTGCCGCATGGGTGCGGGAGGACCTGGCTGCATGTCCTGCGTCATGGGCTGGCTGCCTGAGCACGTTCATGGAGACGCGTGTGGCATGTCTTGGAATGGCAGGGACATGGTACCTTCTCGTGTTGGTGTGTATCCGTATGTCTTTCTACACATGTGCTGGTACGTTGGTCTGTCTTGTCTCCCCTGTAGACGGGAAGCCCCGAACCACGGGCCAACTGGGAAGTTGATGGTCGGCGAGACCAGCCCATCCTAATTTGGGGTTCCTGGTCCTGCTCCAGGAGTCCTACAGCCTGCAGCCCCTACCAGAGAGGGAGGACTGAACAGCAAGGGGGTGTGTGGGTCTGAGTATCAGGGTCCTGGGGAAGAAGCAGGCCTGGCTCGTAGAGTAGAAGACTCGGTGCCGGCAGTCAGGAGGCCCTGCTCCTGAAGCCTCTGTGACCTTGGGCACGGCCTTCACTCTGTCTGGGGCACATTCACTCATCTGGAGAACACAGGGTTGGACTGATTACTTTTAGCCACTCCTGACAGTTGTGGTTTTAAGTTGGGTGGTGGGAACCTGTGCACCAGCCCTATTCAATTCACTGGTGGAGGCAGCCGTGGTCTGCCAGGCCCTCGCTCCTGGGGTGTCCTGCCGAAGGGTGAGAAGAGAAGCCATGCCGGGCAGCGGCCCCAGCGAGAGGATGACGTGGCCTGGCCCGGCCCTTTCTGCGGGCCCCCCAACCCGCCCTCTCTCCTCAGCCCCCGGGATACCGCCCATCCCACCCCTTACTCGGACCCACAGCCTCATGGCCATGTCCCTGCCAGGAAGTAGACGGACCTCTGCTGGATCACGCAGGTGAGTCTCCCCCTCGCTCACAGCCTAGGCTTCGGAGGGCGGGAGGAGGGCGCACGGGCCTCTCTCTACCTGCCACCAACTTGCAGTATGTGTTTGAGCAAATCATTTCCCATTCCCATCTTTAAAATGAGCTTGCTAACACCTGCCTCCTCCTGGAACTATTTAATGGCTCAAATGACACAGTGGATGTGAGAGTTCTCGGAAGGTGTAAACCACTGGATTCCTACCAGCAGTAGCCTCATCAATATTGTTTGATTTTCACAACGACTGGAGGGGAATCGTGCAGTCATCCACTCAGACTCACTTGGTGTCCCTTGGTTTTTACCCCCGAGGCTCCTCCTCCTGTCCCCACCCCTGTCTGCCCCATTCTTCTCCACCTCTGTCTCAGTCTATGCAGGGATCTCCTCTCCTGGGTTTGGGGAACCCCAGAAGTTGAGGACCTTGATAAGAGCATATGAGGCCCCACCCTTGCCCTGCAGCCCTGCCGGCCCCCATTCTTGTCCCTGGGGAGCCAGGAGGACCAGCCTTCTTCTGGTTTTCCATCTTGATTTGCACTGTCTGTTCTGTCACCCCTGTCTGTGCGTCTCTCTCTCCCTGCTTCTCTCCCCTGTGGTGACCCCAAAGCGGGGGCACTTTGGGCCGCAGCGGCCTGGCAGTGTTCGCCCAGTGTCCGCAGCTGCCCGCCAGCCAGAACGAGCACCTGCCTCTTCTTCCTGCCTCCAGGCGCACCTCTCCACCTGTGAGCGTGCGGGATGCCTACGGCACCTCTTCGCTCAGCAGCAGCAGCAATTCTGGCTCCTACAAGGGCAGTGACAGCAGTCCCACGCCAAGGTAATTGGCCCCTCCTCTCTGGGCCTGGCCCTGCTGGCTGGGAACAGGTTGTCCTGGGGTGGGAGAGGTAAGGGAGCAGGGTCGTGTTCTAACCACCCCTGACGCCAGCATAGCCGCTGGCCGTGTGACCTTGAGCAGATCATTTCTCCTTTCTGAGCCTCAGTTCCTGTCTGTAAGATGGATATGATAATATACAGCTGGACATAAAAAAATACAGTGGCCTAAACAAACTAGGGGTGATACTTGCAGAACAAGGAGCCAGGGGTCAGCAGCTCCCTGAAGTGTCAGGGACCCTGTGTCTTCTCCCGCTGCTCCACCATCCTTGGTGTACAGCTTTTGTCTTTGTCATCACAGGTGGCTTCTGTACCTCCAGGCATCAGGCCTGCCCTCCAGGAAGGAACAGGTGGAAAGGACCAAAGCCCTTCTCAGAGATTGTTTTTCTGAGAGGGACAGCTTGCCCCCAAATCCTGCCAGTTCTTGCTGGCCAGAACTGGGTCATGTGAATAACTCTAGCTGCAGGGCCAGTTAGTGTCTTCCCCACAACAGTACCACCCCAGACAAAATGGGGGTTCCGCTAGGAAGAAAGCAAGATGAGTATTGGGAAGCAGCCTGCAGTGTCTACCATCATGCACTTCTCAGGGGAACACTTTGAGAGTGGCAGAGGTGGAACTGGCTTGGAAGGCGAAATGTTACGAATGCAGCAGATGCCAAGTTGTAGTCTTGAGTGAGGTGAACTCGGACTCACAAAGCAGGATCATGTTGGAGAAGCAGGTGTAGGGGAGCTGTAGGTCCTTGAAGACCAGGAAGGAAGAGCTGTCATGGTAGGCCTTGTCCTGCTTCCCCAGCATTGAAATACAAGTGGGAGGTTGGGGCGTGTAGGGAACGAGCATAGGCTCTGGATTTGGTCTCTTCCTGTCTTGAGCCTCCATTTCCTTTCTTTAAAGTGGAGCTAATAACTCGGAAGCTTCGGTGACTTGATATCTACACACCGCCTGTGCATCCTAGTTGGCCAATAACTGATACCTCCTGTTGTTAGAGCTTTGATCTGACTTAAGGCCAGGAGATGCCCAGCCTGTGGCTCCCATGGCTGGAGCACCTCCTGGGAGGACTCAGTGGAGAGGATGTCATTTGTGTGAAGCGATGTCCAGAGCCACTGAAACAGCAGCTGTTAGATTTCTATCGTGACACACATGATGGGTAACACCCATGTGCAGGACTCATGCCCCAGCATCCTGGCTGTAACACCACCCCAGAGACTGGGGGACATAGGAGTAAAGCATTAATTTACATTTTGAAAACTATATAATTGGCAACTTTAATCTTTTCTATTAGTAACAGATTTTGTAACACACCTCGTAACTGCAGCCCATGGAGGTGATCCCAACCCCAGGGCTGAGAATTGCTCCCAGCAAAGGGTCTTCTTCCCCACAACAAGGGTTGCTGCCCCTGGGTGAGCAGTGGGGCCACAGTTAGGTCCCCTCTGCAAATAGCCAGGCTTTCCAAGGCAGGAACAGCTGAGAAACATGCGTCACAGCGTATTTTTTTTCTAATTTGTGTGTGTGTGTGTGTGTGTGTGTGTGTGTGTGTGTGTGTATACATATTTTTTTTTTTACAAAGAGCTAGTGACTAAAAATGTACACGTGTTAAATTTTATATCGGGGAAAATATTCATGAAAGCAAAATGAAAAGAATGTAAAATAGTTACTTCCTCTCTAATCCTCAATCCTTACTAGTTTAGCTAACCTTGGGTCCCCCACTCCTACCACCCCTTGCCAAGGGGTGACTCCTCCGCCCCTTGCCAAGCAGAGAGGAGACCTGCGTGACTTGGCTTGAGTTGACCTAGGGGCCATGACGTGAGTACATAGAAGAAAACCACTTCTCATTCCACTTCTATCACCACTTTCTCTTTGACAGTTTACGACTTACAAGTACTTTTTCCTCGGTAAACACCATACAGCTTCCATGGAACTTTTAAAATTGCCTCCAGCTCGGCTGCTTCAGCAAATGGGCCTCACCAGGGCCTGCCTTTTCCAGGCTCATAAAGGGACATTGCCCCTCCCTAGACCTGCCAGTCACTCTCCCCTCAAGGAGCAGAGTTGGATGGCAACAAGGCCTGAGTCTCTAGTCGCGAGATACATGCCCAGGTTTTAAGCCAAGATCCAAGGTTTCTGTTTGAGCAAAACAACCAGCAGCCAGGACACTGAGAATAGAGCTGGCTGGGCCATAGTCTGTTGTGGAATTGGGGCATTCTCCTTCCCCGTGAAAGCCTGGCCCTCCCTCCTCCACTGGCACCTGACTGCCCTCTGGGTGGAAATTCCTTCTCCTTTGCCCTGGTAGGGCACCATGTCAGTGCCGCCCTGTGCTGGGAGCAGTGCACTTCCAGCCTGCTGCCACCCCAGAGTACTGCAGTGGACAGGTCCCTGCCCAGAGCCGGCAGGTGTTCACGTGTGTGCTCCCATGTGCCCCCGGAGGTGAAAGTGTGAACATGTGCCTGGGCTGGTGCCCTAGTATGTGTGAGTACCTGCGAGGCACAAGTGTGTCTCCATGTATGTGGGCATGCAGGTGTGAATGGACTGGGAATTGACATCCCAGGAAGTGTGCGTGCATGTAGTGCTCACCCACGTGTACGCAGTGGGGGTGAGGAGTGAGAGTGCCAGGGCGTATATGGAGACAGCTGTGCCTGCGCGTGTCTGCCCTCCCTGTCCCCAGGCTGTGAGGGGTCTCAGCTCTAGAGAGGAGAGCTTCTGCCTCCACCTGGGAGATGTATCCTGCTGTGTGGGGGTGAGTCCTTGTCTGCCATGCAGACCCAGCATCTGCCACTTACACCTCAGTTTCCAGCCTTCAAACTCATTCTCCAGGTTGGAAGACGAGGTACCTGGGTTCTGGGGCACACTACCGGGATTGTCTGAGGGGCTCGGGGCAAGAGCTAACCTCTCTGAGGCCAGCGGCCCCTCTAAAAGATGAAGACAGTCCCTACTTCAGGGCTGCTATAAGGATTGATGGCGTTGGTCAAGTGCTTGGCCTGGTTCCAGGTTTACACATATGCTCTGGGATATATCTCCCCACCCAGCCCTAACTAGAGGAGCCCTGAAGCCCGCTTCCTGACATGATGGTCTTCACTTAGAGGAACTCTACTAAAACCCACCTTCCAGAAGGCTGGGGGTTCTCCTGCCTTGTGTGGGAGGCCTGGCTTGGAGCATCTGGTGGCCAGGGATGGTGAGGCTGGTGTCCCCTTGCTCCCCAGAGGTAAAGCACCTGTGCCTTGCCTGACCTCTTCCTCCCTCCCTGATGATGGGCGTCCCCTTGCAGGCGCTCCATGAAATACACGCTGTGCAGTGACAACCATGGCATCAAGCCCCCGACCCCGGAGCAGTACCTGACCCCCCTGCAGCAGAAGGAGGTGTGCATCCGGCACCTGAAAGCCCGGCTGAAGGACACACAGGACCGGCTCCAGGACCGGTGAGCGGGTGGCCACGAGCAGCCCTGGGGGTACCCCACCAGCTCCACACTCAGGGAAACCAGGGCTCTGGGGTGCCTCTTGGAGGGAGGAGTGGCTGGGGGTCTCCCAGCATCCGTCTGCTCTCTCCTTCCCAGCAAAGCCTCATTTGAGCCCACTTGCAGACCCTCATCCCCAGCAGCTACTCACCTTGACTGCTCCACGAGGCTGTTGGGGGCCAGGCGGGAGCAGTTTCCCATGAGGGCCTGTCCTGTGGGGCCTCCTGCCTGTGCTGTCCTTTCCCAGCTTCAGCCTGGCAGCTCCTTTGGCTGCTTCTTTTCCTCTGGCTCCCATCTTCCAGGAGTTGGAGCACAGGGCTTCTTTCTGACTTACTTGCCTCTTTTGGGGGAGAAACAACTCTTTATCCTTCCTCGCTTCCTCCTGAGTGAGTCACCAGAGGGCTTGTGGCCAACCTCGACTTCAGGCCCCAGAAGCCATCTACTTCCTGCTGTGGAGGATGATGATGAGAAGCCTTTTGCTGAGCTCCTCCCCAGCCCAGGTGTCTCCCAGGAGCCCCCGCAGGCCGTCTGAGCTCATTCTCAAGTGCTTAATCCCAACCCTCCCAGCTTCTACCCTCCAAGCCCAGTGGCTTCATCTTTGTGATCTACACTTCAGGGCGTCGATCTCCCATTGTCTTAACTATCCTTCTCGGGACTGTGTCTATGCAAACATGCAGCCTATTGTGAGCTGGCCAAGGTGCTGTGTGGGGCTGGAGCTCAGAGCAGGCACGATGATCGCTCCTTTTTTCTTTTCTTTCTTTTTTTTTTTTAATACAGCAGCTTTATTGCAATGTAACTTACATACCATATAATTCACCTATCAAAAGTGTACAATTAGATGATTGTTAGTTTAGTCACAGAATTTTGCAACCATTACCACTATCTAATTTCATAAATATTTCTATCACCTCAAAATAAACCCCATTCCCATTAGCAATCACCGCCAATTTCTAATTTCATCAATATTTCTATCACCTCAAAATAAACCCCATTCCCATTAGCAATCACCGCCAATTTCTAATTTCATCAATATTTCTATCACCTCAAAATAAACCCCATTCCCATTAGCAATCACCGCCAATTTCTAATTTCATCAATATTTCTATCACCTCAAAATAAACCCCATTCCCATTAGCAATCACCGCCAATTTCTAATTTCATCAATATTTCTATCACCTCAAAATAAACCCCATTCCCATTAGCAATCACCGCCAATTTCTAATTTCATCAATATTTCTATCACCTCAAAATAAACCCCATTCCCATTAGCAATCACCGCCAATTTCTAATTTCATCAATATTTCTATCACCTCAAAATAAACCCCATTCCCATTAGCAATCACCGCCAATTTCTAATTTCATCAATATTTCTATCACCTCAAAATAAACCCCATTCCCATTAGCAATCACCGCCAGTTTCTAATTTCATCAATATTTCTATCACCTCAAAATAAACCCCATTCCCATTAGCAATCACCGCCAGTTTCTAATTTCATCAATATTTCTATCACCTCAAAATAAACCCCATTCCCATTAGCAATCACCGCCAATTTCTAATTTCATCAATATTTCTATCACCTCAAAATAAACCCCATTCCCATTAGCAATCACCGCCAGTTTCTAATTTCATCAATATTTCTATCACCTCAAAATAAACCCCATTCCCATTAGCAATCACCGCCAATTTCTAATTTCATCAATATTTCTATCACCTCAAAATAAACCCCATTCCCATTAGCAATCACCGCCAATTTCTAATTTCATCAATATTTCTATCACCTCAAAATAAACCCCATTCCCATTAGCAATCACCGCCAATTTCTAATTTCATCAATATTTCTATCACCTCAAAATAAACCCCATTCCCATTAGCAATCACCGCCAGTTTCTCTCCAACCACCATAGTCCCTGGCAACCACTGATTTTTCTGTCTCTATGGATTTGTCTATTCTGGACATTTCATATAAATGGGATCACGCTGTATGCATGACCACATCGTTCTTGACCACAGCTCTGCCAAGCAGCCAATCCGGTTTGGATTTGTTGTGGTTTTAAACTACAGGCGGTTACGGGTAGCATTCAGCGAGCTTCATTGTCGGCAGAGGGAGGATTTCTATTTTTATTTTCCCTCATCTTCCCAATGATGCCCAGGATCTGCGTGGCCTTTTGCACTAATGCCTCAGGGAGCAGATGGCCCATCTCCCAGCTTCATTTCTAGGGCCAGCCCCATGGCTTAGAGCAGACCATCTGCCCTGTGTGGTTTGGGCAGGATGCCCTGGTGTAGGTGTGCTAACACCTTGACTCCCTGGTCACTGTCTGCCTGTTACTCCCACAGGAACCCATTGCAGGTCTTTACATGAAATACTGTCACTCTCCCCACACTCTCTCCATATGGAGTTTCATGCCTGTGCTTCCTGCAGTGGCCCACCTTCTGTTCCTCAAAGACACCATGGCTTTTGCACCTCTGTGCTTTCGTATCTGTGTCCCCACTACTTGAGATGCCCTGCCTTCTATCTTGCTCCCTGGGCAGACTTACCCTTCAAGACGCACTTCAGATGTGATGCCCACTGAGGCGTGGACAGGGCTCGAAGCCATGGCTCCCTGGGGTTTGGCTGGGCCCCAAGGAGAGAGAGGCAGAGACTGGCTGAGCAGATCATGCCCAGTTCCTTCTTTCAAACTCACTCTTTCTCCCAGGGTGAGGTGTGAGTGAGGAGCAGGGTGAGAGGCCAAAAGGGTTACCTAGAGTGGGCCCCCCACCTGGAGGCAGGAAGGGTGAAGGCCAAGTATCTCCTGCCCCTCAGTACCTGTTGCCTTGTCTGTTATTGGCACTCTAAGCAGCTCCAGCTGTGTCCTGATGGGTGGATGGGCCCCTTCTAGGTGACACCATTGCTGACCTTTATGGCCACTGCATCCCCTCAGCCCCCAGTCCCTCCAGCGTATTGTGGAATGAGATTCCTGGGCCCATTTCCTGAAGGAAAATTCTGATCTGGCTTTGAAAAGTATATGGTGCTTGATCTGGGACGGTCATTCTGCTGGGCTGATGAACCCCAGAGTGACAGGCACGGCATTTGTAGATTTTACGGATGGGAATGTAGGGTTTAGGCTGAGGGGGCTCATGTGGGCTGCCACTAGGAAGTGAGCGAAAATGCCCAGGACAGGGTTTGACGTCTCCTGGATGATTTTCCTTCTTCCTCACTGGTGTTAATCAGTCGCCATTCTGTCTCACTCTGGTTTTACCTCTAGACCTGATGGCATATTTTTCTAACTTACCTCCCTCCCCTTGCACCCCTGGATTCATCTGTGACTCGGGAATTTGAAAAGCCTGAGCATTTCTGGACAAGAGTCTGCCGACTATCTTGTTCACCTGGTGCTTGCCCCCGTCGCTCAGGAGTAACTCTATGCCTTTCTCGTTGATCTTTTCAGCTTTTCCTCTTTAAGATACAAGATACAAGGAGATACAAAGATACAAAGAAGCTTCTAGCATGGATAGATGAGAGCCACCCTGTTCTTATCACTCTCCCGTTCCACCCACCACTTCTCATCGCTCTGCATGAGGGATGATGTAAAATCATCAGCCTCCCCCAACATTGAAAGCTGTCATTTCTCTCCCCTGGGGTCTCTGGCCAAATATTCCTCCACTGAAACTTTCTGCAACCTGCTTTAGTAGGTAGTAGGAGGCTACATCACTTTCTATAGAGCAGAGATTTCCTGCCTAGTTTTTGTTGTTTCACATTAAGATTTTATTAGGTTTTTATAGCAGTAGCTATAAAACTTATGAGCATCTTTGTTGTCTAGTCTCTTCTCTAGATGATGGATTTGAATGTTGAGAGTTGTCGGCATTCTGGGGGTGGTGGGGTGGGGGAGGGAATGCGAGTGGTGTCTCCTCCCAACCTTTCTTCTCTCTCCAGGCAGAGGCTTCTCCTGTCTTCACCCCTCAGCCCCTCTCCCCAGCCACTCTCACTCCCCACTATAATAAGAAGGCATTGAGTTTGTCCTTCTGTTTTGGGTTCTGAGCCACAGCAGCACAGGGCCCTTCATCCTTGGCAACAGTGTCCTCTCCCTGCCTCTCCTTGGCGGTGACAGACCAGGCAGGCAGGCAGTGAGCGTGTGTGTGTCTCCTCGGCTCGCAGGGACACAGAGATTGATGACCTGAAGACGCAGCTGTCACGCATGCAGGAGGACTGGATTGAGGAGGAGTGCCACCGCGTGGAGGCCCAGCTGGCCCTGAAGGAGGCCCGAAAGGAGATCAAGCAGCTCAAGCAGGTCATCGACACTGTCAAGAACAACCTGATTGACAAGGACAAGGGGCTGCAGAAGTACTTCGTGGACATCAACATCCAGAACAAGAAGCTGGAGACGCTGCTGCACAGCATGGAGGTGGCCCAGAATGGCATGGCCAAGGAGGATGGCACTGGGGAGTCAGCCGGTGGGTCCCCTGCCCGCTCCCTCACCCGCAGCTCCACCTACACCAAGCTGAGTGACCCGGCTGTCTGTGGTGACCGCCAGCCGGGTGATCCCTCCAGCGGCTCTGCTGAGGATGGGGCAGACAGTGGCTTTGCAGCAGCCGATGACACACTGAGCCGGACGGACGCGCTGGAAGCCAGCAGCCTGCTGTCGTCGGGGGTGGACTGTGGCACCGAGGAGACCTCGCTGCACAGCTCCTTCGGCCTGGGCCCCCGCTTCCCTGCCAGCAACACCTATGAGAAGCTGCTGTGTGGCATGGAGGCTGGTGTGCAGGCCAGCTGCATGCAGGAGCGTGCCATCCAGACAGACTTCGTGCAGTACCAGCCTGACCTTGACACCATCCTGGAGAAAGTGACCCAGGCCCAGGTCTGTGGGACAGACCCTGAGTCAGGGGACAGGTGCCCAGAGCTGGATGCCCACCCTTCAGGGCCCAGAGACCCCAACTCAGCAGTGGTGGTGACAGTGGGTGATGAGCTAGAGGCCCCAGAGCCCATCACCCGTGGACCCACCCCACAGCGGCCTGGTGCCAACCCCAACCCTGGCCAGTCGGTGAGCGTGGTGTGCCCCATGGAAGAGGAGGAGGAGGCTGCCGTGGCTGAGAAGGAGCCCAAGAGCTACTGGAGCCGCCACTACATCGTGGATCTGCTGGCTGTGGTGGTGCCGGCCGTGCCCACGGTGGCCTGGCTTTGCCGCTCCCAGCGGCGCCAGGGCCAGCCCATCTACAACATCAGCTCCCTGCTGCGGGGCTGCTGCACTGTGGCCTTGCACTCCATCCGCAGGATCAGCTGCCGCTCGCTGAGCCAGCCGAGTCCCAGCCCAGCGGGCGGCGGCTCCCAGCTCTGAGGGGGCCCATTCTGGCAGCGGCGCCTGCGGCCTGACCACTGATTGTAGGGATGCCGTTCCCCCCTCCCTTCTCCCATGGGCATCATCT
The DNA here is from genome assembly GCF_000001405.40 of Homo sapiens. Taxonomy (NCBI): domain Eukaryota; kingdom Metazoa; phylum Chordata; class Mammalia; order Primates; family Hominidae; genus Homo; species Homo sapiens. The sequence continues at coordinate 1,306,143 of NC_000020.11, forward strand.
TATTTATTTAGTTTTGGGTGTGGAACTGTTTCTTTTTTTCAAGATGTTAAAACAGTCCCGTGGAAGGAGCAGGGGTTGGAGAAAGGCATCCCAAAGCTTCGATGGAGAGCAGGGAAGGGGGACCCAAGGCAGGAGGTACACCAGCTGGACAAATTGCAGGGAGGGGAGGGAGCGAGGGCCAACCCGGCCCCTCTGTCCCCTTGGCTCTTCAGACAGGGCCAGCCCTGCTCAGGAAGTCTCTGGCTGTCTTCATGTGGGGAAGCCGGGCTTGAGTTGCCCATAGGCCCCTGCCCTGCACCATCCTGTCCAGTGCCCTGCGCACTCCATGCCGTCTCTTCCAAGCCACCTTGCCCGCAGCCCAGGCTCCTGGGCCAGTGCTCTCTCCTCAAATGGAGGCAGCCATGGCCTGAAGTGCAGATCACTGACCCAGGGCTCAGAGCAGAGGCCAGAACCACTGGGCCGGCCGGCATTCCAGCCTCCCCAGACTGCTGCCCACCTTGGGACTCAGGAGCTCAGTCAAGGCCACAGGCTGGAGGAGAGACGGGGCTGGGCGCAAGGTGGCGGAGGGCAGTGTGGGTTCTGTGTCTGTCTGTTCATCCCAGGCTTTCCCGTCATCCCTTTCCTCTTGGCACTTCTGGGTGTGTCAGTCATTATTCCTGTGAGGTAGCTAAGCCCGGCAAGCTCAGTGCTGGGGTAGGAGGGCCTGCCTGAGTCCCAGCTCCCAGCTGGAGAATCCACCAGCACAAGAAGAGGAGGCAGGGGCAGAAACCCAAGGGGGCTCCCCCAGCCTTCCAAGGTGAGGCCATCTCATCTGCAGGCTGGGAGGCAGGGCTGGACTCAGGAACCCACAGCTTACTGAAAAAGCCAGAGGCCATGACTGCCCCCAGAAACTTGCCCCGAGTTTCTCTGGGGCCCTCGGGCCCAACTTCTGCTTTGCACTATGTTCACTTTGGGGTTGGTTCTCAGCCATCCAAGGGTCTCCAGTGAGGTGGCTGCTTGCTGTCTGAGATGAGGGTTCCTAAACCTTAAACCTCTCTGCCTCTGGAGGAGGGTGGGGTATTCTGGCAGGATGAATCGCAGGATGGCGCGTACTGAAGCCACGATGTTCATCCAGGCCAAAGCAGGGTGTCCTGGGATAGGTTTCCTAGGCAGGGGCGTGGCAGAGCAGGTAGGCGCCCTGCAGCCTCCCTGCTCCCAGCCCAAGGCCAGTCGGCCTGGGAAGTTCACTGCCCCAACTCTTTTCCCGGGACCATACTGAGTCCCCCAGCCACGCTGCTGACATTACCATTATTATTTTACCAAGTAAACTCACTCCTTTTCCCCCACAGGGGTTACACCCATCTGGTTGTCCCACCCACTCTTCAGAGGCTAGGCCCCACCTCTGGGGGTTGGAGGGACCCTGTGTCTTACTCGCCCCTCTGGCCTAAGGGCCACTCTGGTTATCTGCCAAGGTTGCTTGCCCTCACCCCAATGCTCCAACAGCCATTGCCTAACTCATGGGCTCTGCCCTTCTGCTCGGTGCCCTCCACGTGAGGCGGGGCACCTGCATGCACTGGGAGGGGGCGGCTGGCCCAGCCCTCGGGGCAGGAGCCCCCTCTGCCACACGCTTTGTGCCTCCAAAGCTCCCCCCGCCTTGGTCAGGGCCTCAGACCAGCCAACCTTTGTGGAATAAGCCCCAGCCCAGCCAAACCAAACCCAGATGCCTGAGGCCTGGCTGGGGCTGCCCCCGCAGGACACTGTGGCCATGCCACGGAGGGGGCAGTGGACAAAACCAATCCAAAGCCAAGCCGGGACTGGCTGCGGACCCAGCCTCCTGTGCCGCGCACTCACGGAGCTGCGTAGTCTCCTCAGACATAGTCAAAGCTTTGCCGAGAAAAGAAATGTATGAACTATATTTGACAACATAAAATCTCTCTATTTTTCACCACTGGAATTTAGTCAAGCTTCAGGCCCCTCTGCTCCTGTCTGTGTCTTGCGTCTGTGGCCTTCCTATTGTGTCTTGTGTTTTGGTGGATGTGACAGGGCTGGGGCCACAGTCTACTCTGTCTCTGCTGCTAGAGAAGCCACCTGTGGAGGACTGGGCTGTGGTTGGGCCTGAGGCCTGTGGAGGAGGTGAGTGTAGCCAGCAGCGGCCGTCTACTCCTGTTCTGGCCTGAGACCACCGGTGTGGGTCACGAGGGCCCTGGCCCACAGTGTTGAGGGTCCTCTCTTTCGGGGGCTCTCCTGGGGCCTTCGATGGGCTTTTCTTCTTGTCAGTGGAGGGAGCAGCTCCCCACTCAGCCCTGGGACAGGCCCTGGGACTGTGGTGGCCGGTGGCCCTGGCCCAGCTCTGGAGTGCATGTGTGTGTGCTCAGATCCCGCATCTATGCAAAGGTGCAGGCTGCCTGTGAGGCTCCAGGCGGTGGAGGTGCGGCAGCTGCTGCTCAGGTGCCATGCCCTGAAGAGGCAGGGTACACATGGGGCTGGGAGGGCAAAGATGGGGCGGGGCCTCCCCCTGAGAGAGCTCACCCTCCACAGTGACCCTTTTCCTTCCTGCCTAATACCTCCTCCCGTTGGGCTGTGACTTTTCCTCCTGCCCTCAGCCTCTGAAACAGAAATCTTTGGGGCCTCCCCTTTCCCCAGCGTCTGGCAAGAGCTGATGAGGTCCTGAGGAACAGTGTCCCCAGGAACCACCTTCTGGAGCCTAGCGGCCAGACGTGGCTTCTCCTGAGTTCTAGGGCTCGGGCCAGAGTGGCACTACTGCCCGGCCAGTCCAGGCTCAGGCAGGAATCGGACGCTGGGGCCCGGGCTCTGCACAGAGAGCTGGGCTTGAGTGGAGTTTATTGTAGATTTCTCCCAAGGGGATCACTTAGCTTCTCACTGACACACCCTTCCCAATTGCCACAAGCGCAGGGGTATCTTACAGCACTTTGGGGAGGGGTGGGACAAACTGCAAGGTTCTGGGGCCAAGGCCTACCCAGGGGCCTCTGCCCAGAGAACTCACAACCCCCTCTCTGACCTGGGGGACAATGCAAACAGGTCACAGTGCATTCCCATATTAGGCCATCCCCTTCACGAAGAATTCAGGGGATGTGGGAAGTGGGGAGGCGGGGAGGGATCTTGACTCTTGTCTCCTTTGTCCTTTTGTTCAGACAGAGTTGTACCTGCAGCAGACAACTCTGAATTAAAGCATGAAAACACAGCAAGCCCCTTGGCCTGTTTTCTTTATACTGGGTGGTTTCTCTAAGGGGAGGCAGTGGGAGGGTTCACACCATCTTCCTCCAGCGCAGGGGTCACAACACCCGCACGGGAAAAAGCCACGTGGGCAGCGATCATCTCTGATGTGCAGGGAAGCAGAGAGCTGTGTGGGGCTGAGGCACCACTGCCCTCTTGGGGTCAGGCTCAGAGTCTGGAGCCACCTCCCCCTGCCCCCACATGGCACACCCTGCTGGGCGCCATGAGCACATCGCGTCTCACCTTCCCCAACACCCCCTAAAGTGGCTTCTCATGCCCACTTTGCAGAAGCAGAAGCAGCCACGGTCACACGGGGGGTGCCCCAAAGCCAGTGCTCCCTTTGTCAGCCCCACTGCCCCACAGTCCTACCCCATCCCCACAGTTCCATCCTGTCCCCAGTTCCAGTCATCCCCGCGCCAGGCTGGCAGGTGGCACGTGACAGAGGCAGAGCCAAATCATGGCTCTCAGAGGCCACGCGTAGAAAAGGCCCTGGTCTCACCACGGTTTAAGAGGAAACCAGCCCTGGCACGTCAGGGGACCAAGGATTCCAGAATTTTCAGTTACCTTTTTATTTTATTTTCAATAGTTTTGGGGGAATCAATTACCTTTGCGGACAGGGTTTTGTTTAAAATCAAATCTTTATTCAAAAGATAGTCAAGGCTGACAACTTATGCAGTCTGTGACAAAGAGCAAGTCAAGGCAAGGAAAAAGCTCTCACAAAGAACGTAGCTCTGTTCTCTTAAAATGTGTAACTGTTTTCCTGGTAGAGCAAAATTTCTTGAAAGGGGCCCAGTTGCGACTTTAAGCAGCGTTTAAACAGCCTGCCTCCGTGTCCAGCATTTAAATCAGCACAAGAGAATCGGCTGCCTGTGGGCCCTGCCTGAGCCTCAGCCTAGCTTGGAGTCTGAGGCTCCAAGGAGGCCTGTGTGTATAAGCCATCCCATGGTCACCCTCCTGGACACGCCCCCCTCATGGCAGCCCCCACCTTAAGCAGCAGGCCGGCTGCAACCCATCATCCGAGGGTGGTTGCCCTTTGCTGCAGGAGGGCGGGAAGCCCCCCCTGCCTGCCCTGCCCTGCAGTGGCTTCAGGCATCTGGGATGGAGTGGTCCATGGTGTGGTGGAGCAGGACTGGAGGCAACCTGGATACAGCAACAACAGTGACCAGGTTGGCAGCTCCTTCTCTCCACCCTCCAGCAACCTCCACCCCCTTCCGAGCCAGTGCATCCCATGTGGGCCTTCACTCCCAGTTCTAAGACTTTCGAATCACCAGAAGCCACAAGCTACCTTGGAGGGAGGGGAAGGGAGGATAGAGCTGGCTGAGCCTGTGCCCTGTGTCAGCACTGAGAAAGTGGAAGTGGCTGAGCCAGGTGCACCTGGGAGGCCGGGAGGTGAAGGGGATGGCAGAGGAGGGGTGAGGAGGGGTGAGGAGGGGTGCAGCCTTACTTTTTGACCATGTGCTCGTAGATCACACTGGGGATGATGGTCAGGGTGACAACGTTCCCAGCCGTGGCCAGAATCTCCATGATCTTTTTGTCCTAGGGAGGAGGCAAGTAAGCGATCACCCTAAGGATTGGGGACCAGGGGCAACTCTACAGGCCCCTCTGTGGAGGGATCAGCATGGCCACTGCTAGAGGACACCACTGATGGCTGACTGCAGGGCAGGGCTGCCTCGGACCCCGAGCCTGTCAGATGAGGGTCCCAGCAGACTCCCAGGTAAGGTCTTGCTTGAGTGAGAACATGGGTCTCCCACCTGAGGATCTCCTTGGTCAAATGAGCATGCCTCTTCCCACCCTCAGCTTGAAGGCCAGCGGTGTGAGCCTGACGCGTAACAGGGCCTCATCAATGCGATTCTCCTCCCCCTTCCAAGGGCTCCCAGAGACTCACCAAGCCCACAGTCACATTTGGGTTCTGGCCTCAAAGCATAAATGCCTCCCCATCCTGTGGGAGGTACTAGGCGTACCCATCCACCCTCTGGCTCCTGCTGCCTCCAGGGCCATAAGGATCCTCCTCCTCTTACATCCTCTTACATTTGCTTGTTTGATAAAAAGAGATGGGCCTGCAGACACCACTTAGATCATGGGAAGAACAAGAAATTAAAAGTCTCTACGCAAAGCGTGCCAGGTGGTCCAAACACTAACGTTATGGCCATAGAAGAGCCTCTGGCCCTCACTCAGAGCCTATTGACCTTTACATTACACATGTATGTTATCTGGTTATGTGTTTTCTTGGTTGTTCGAAAATAAATGTGAGAAGATGTGCTAGACAGGACTAGTGATGGCCACAGGTGGAAATAAACTTTGAAAAGACAAACGATCTCAAGAAGTGTGGCTGGCTGGGACAAACCCAGTTCTGAAGAACCTCACGACCCCATGGATTTCTGAATAACGATTTTCTAAAACATTCCTAAACTACTGAACATGATCCACTATACCAAAAAAAGTGCCATACAGAGCAAGGAGGTGTCCATGCAGCCAGCAATAGCTATTATGTATTAAGCACCTGCTATGTGCCTGGCACTGTGCTCAGAGCTCTAGGTACACTGTCTTTTTTTTTTTTTTTTGGAGACAGGGTCTCTCTCTGTTGCCCAGGCTGGAGTGCAGTGGCATGATCATAGCTCACTGCATCCTTGACCTCCCAGGCTCAATTAGTCCTCCCACCTCAGCCTCCTGAGTAGCTAGGACTACAGGTGTGCACCACCACGCTTGGCTAATTTTTTAGTTTTTTTTGTGGAAAGAGGGTTTCACATTGCCCAGGCTGGTCTCGTGCTCCTGGACTTAGTGATCCTCCTGCTTTGGCCTCTCAAAGCACTGGGATTACAGACGTGAGTCACCGCACCCAGCCCTACGAACACCGTCTTACTGAACCCTCACAGCAACCTTAGGAAGAGGATGCTGAGGCTCAGGTGGGGTAAGCAAGCTGCCCAAAGACCTGAGCCCTCCCACCACCCGGCAGTCCCTCCCTGGTGCGGCCACCAGCCTACCTTCAGCCCGATAACATTCTGCCCGTCCACCTCACACACGTAGTGGTTGGTGAGGAGCCCGTTGCGGGCCGCAGAACTCCCTTTGACCAGAGAGACAATCTTCCCCTTCTTGATCACGAAGCCGACGTGGCCCATGCTGTCCTTGTGCATGGTGACAGTCCGCTGGAACGGCCTGGCAGGAGGGACAGTGAGCTGTCCTGGGGACATGGCTGGGGTGAGACGGAGAGGCTGCCCGGGCCTGGCTACTCACCTGTCCCGAACCACCACGACAATCTTATCGCCTGATGCCTTCTTCACCACCTGATGGGCTTTGTGCGAGCTCCACCCAGCACAGTCACGCCCGTCAATCTGCAGGAGCTGGTCCCCAAAGCGCAGCCCCACAAGGGATGCAGGGGTGTTGGCCTGGACCAACTGCACAAAGAGCCCCTGGGGGAGGCAGGGCCCCAGAGTCAGTGTCCCTGGCCCACCCTAGGCACAGATCCCTCTTCCAACCTGTTGTTTTCCTCCTGATACTCCAGGAACCTACAGGGTGCCAGGGACACAGCTCTGCATGGCAGGCACCAAGGTTACCCCATTTACCGGGGAGGAAACACTCTAGGCCTCATAGTTAGGAAGCAGGTGAGTCAGGATTTCAACCCTGGCCTGGGGCTGCACTCCGAAACACTCCACTGTACCATTCACAAAGGCATGGGCTTCCCTGGCGTCGGCTGTCTACACCGTCGCCTGGAAGCTAGATGCCCTGGGCAGCGAAGGGCAGGTGGGGAAGGGAGGCTCCTCCGAGCGACGGAAGCCCACGGAGAGGCCAGTGGAGGGCCCTGCGCAACCCAGCACCAGCCCCGCCCGGGTCTCGGGGAGGAGGGACTGGGGGCAAGAGCCTGGCCGCTGGGGTTAGGAGGCCCGCTCTGCACCTTCCTTACTGTGGACGGGCCCTCTGAGCTCTGAGGCCTGGCGGGAGAGCGCGTGCAGCTCGAGCTCCTCTTCCCACCCAGCCCCCGCGCCCTACCTGGTCGACCTTCCGCAGCCTCAGCCCGGTCTTGCCGCGCTCGTCCTTGCACAGGTGGATCTCGCGCACCCCGGGCTTGATCTCAGCTCGCCGCACGCCCAGGCTGTACCCGGTTACCGGTGCCACCATCTGGCCGGGCCCGGGGCCCGAGACCGCTGTCTGCAGACACCAGGGGGCAGGGGGTCAGCCCGGCCCGTGGGGACCCTGTGCCTCAGGAGACACTGGGGTGGGGGTAGGGATGGGGAAAGGAGGATGGAGCCGTCCCCGGGTCCCCCCACGTCCCCAGTCCACGCTTCTCCCCTAGGGGCGAGAGGAGACGTGGCTCCACGCGGCCACTAGGGGGCGTCAAAGTCCATGCCCTTAAAAAGCCAGGAAAACGGGGAGGGAAGGGGCGAGGATACAGGAAGAGGCCCTTCATTTCCCAAGGGAAACTGGCATCAGGAAAAGCCTCCTTTAAAACCCACTTAAAATAGAAAAAGTCACAGTAAATAGTGAGCAACAGGGGATAAAAGGACTGGATTTTTGTCTTGAGAAAAATGTAAAAATATACAAATTCATGATGCAGAAAAAGGCAAGGAACTTCACTCTCCCAACACTATTAAAGATGGTACTGGAAGACCTAGCCAGCACAGTAGGCAAGAAAAGAGGGGGAGTCACACAGATCAGAAGAGAAGAAATAAAACGGTTCCTATTTATAGATGGCACGATGGTCTACTAGAAAATCCCAAAGAATCTACAAATAAACTCCTAGACCAAATAAAAGAGTTTAGCAAGGTCCTGGGATACAAAATTAACACACAAGATTCAATTGTACTTCTGTATACTAACAACGAACACATGTAAACTGAAATTTAAAATACAACACCAGGCTGGGCGTGGTGGCTCATGCCTGTAGTCCCAGCACTTTGGGAGGCCGAGGAAGATGGATCACTTGAGCCCAGGAGTTCAAGACTAGCCTGGGCAACTGTTGAAACCTCCTCTCTACTAAAAATACAAAAATTGGCTGGGCTGGTGGCAAGCACCTGTAGTCCCTGCTACTCAGGTGGCTGAGGCAGGAGAATTACATGAACCCAGGAGGTGGAGGTTGCAGTGAGCCAAGACTGAGCCACTGCTCAGTCCAGCCTAGGTGACAGAGCAAGACTCCACCTCAAAAAAAAAAAAAAAAAAAAAAAGGAAAGGAAAGGAAAGGAAAAGAAAAGAAAGGAAAAGAAAAGAAAAGGAATACAATACAATACCACTTACAATCACTCAAAAAAAAAAAAAAAAAAAGAGGCCGAGCTCAGTGGCTCACTCCTGTAATCCCAGCATTTTGGGAGACCAAGGCCGGAGGACCACTTGAGGCCAGGAGTTCAAGACCAGCCTGGGCAACAAAGCAAGACCCCCATCTCTGTTAAAAACAAAAACGAAGCAAAATAAAACCTAAAAACAAGAACAACAAAAAGAAATACGTGTAAATCTAACAAAACACATACAGGAACCGTATGCTGAAAACAACAAAATACTGATAAAAGATATCAAAGAAGACCTAAATAAATGGAAGATTCTCTGTATTCACGTGTTGAAAGAATTAGTAAAGCTGTCAATTGCCACCAAATTGATATACAGATATAACACCATTTCTATCAAAATCTCTACAAGATGTTTTGCAGATCCAGGGAAGGTTAGTCTAAACTTTATATGAAAAGACAAAGGAATTTAGAATAGCTAAAACAATTCTGACAAAAAGAATAGCGAGAGGAATCACCACCAAATTTCAAGACTTATTATATATAGCTACAATAATCAAGACAGTGTGGTACTGGTGAAGGGATAGACAAGTATCAGTGGAACAAAGTAGAAAATCCAGAAATAGCCTCAAATGAGTAAAGTCAACTGCTTTTTGCAAGAGTGCTTTCAACAAATGGTGTTGGCTGGGCGCAGTGGCTCATGCCTGTAATCTCAGCACTTTGGGAGGACAACACAGGGAGATCAGCTGAGGTCAGGAGTTCAAGACCAGCCTGGGCAACAGGGTGAAACCTCATCTCTACAAAAATACAAAAATTAGCCAGGTGTGCTGGAACGTGCCTGTGGTCCCAGATACGCAGGAGGCTGAGATGGGAGGATCGCTTGAGCCCAGGAGGCGGAGGTTGCAGTGAGCCAAGATCATGTCACTGCACTCCAGCCTGGGTGACAGAGTGAGACCCCATCTCAAAACAAACAAACAAACAAAACAACAAAAAAAGCAAATGGTGCAACCATGGCAAAAATATGAACTTTGACTGAAACCTAACTCCTTACAAAAAAATTAACCCAAATTCAATCATAAACGTAAACGCAAAACATAAAACTATAACCATTTTAGAAGAATACGAAGGAGAAAATCTTTCGGACTTAGGGCTAGGTAAATATTTCTTTACAAAGTATGAGCCACAAAAGAAAAAAAAATCAATAAACTGGACCTCATCAAAATTCAGAACTGTTAAGCTACAGACTGAGAGAAAACATAAACCACACATCTGACAAAGGACTTTAGAATACACAAAGAACTCCCAAAACACTACAGACAAGCCCCAGCCTGGCCAACATAGCAAGACCTTGTCTCTGCAAAAAATAAAAATAACAATAATAAAAGAAATTAGCTGGGCATGGTGGTGTGCACCTGTGGTCCCAGCTACTCGGGAGGCTGAGGTGGGTGGATCACCTGACCCGGGAGGTGGAGGCTGCAGTGACCCGTGATCGCACCACTGCACTGCAGCCTGGACAATAGAGCAAGACCCTGTCTCAAAAAACAAGAAGAAGAAAACAAGCCATTTAGAAAATGAGTAAAATATATGAAGAAACATTTTACCGGAAAGAATATACAGATGGTAATAAGCACATGGAAAGATGGTCCACATCATCAGGTGCCAGGGAAATGCAAATTAAGACCATGATGAGCCATCATTATACCTATCATAGTGGCTAAAATATAAAATAGTAATAATACCAAATTCTGGTGAAGACATGAAGAAACTGGAGCACTCATGTATTGCTCACGGCAAAATAAAATGGTATAGCCACTCCAGGAACTAGTTTGGCAGTTTCTTTTTGAGACAGGGTCTCACTCTGTCACCCAGGCTGGAGTGCAGTGCTGTGATCTTGGCTCACTGCAGCTTCCACCTCCTGGGCTCAAGCAATCCTCCTGCCTCAGCCTCCTGAGTAGCTGGGGCTACAGGCACAAGCCACCATACCTGGCTAATTTTTGTATTTTTTGTAGAGATAGGATTTCACCATGCTGCCCAGGCTGGTCTCGAACTTCTGGGCTCAAGTGATCCACCTGTCTCAGCTTCCCAAAGTACTGGGATTACAGGCATGCACCACCACACCTGGTGGCAGTTTCTTTAAAAAACTTAAACATACATTTGTCATACAGCCTAGCAATTGCACTTTGGGCATTTATCCTAGAGAAATGAAAACGTATGTCTATACAAAAACCTGTATAAGAATAACTTTGTTTGTAACCACCAAAAACTGGGAACAACTTAGCTATTCTTCAACAGGTTAAACAAACCCTGGTACATTCACATCATGGAATACTACTCAGCAGTAAGAAGGAATGAACTATTATTGACACACACAACAGCCTGGATGGATCTAGAGGGTATTGTGCTGAGTGAAAAAAGCCAACCTCAAATGGTCACATACTGTACGATTCCACTTATGTAACATTCTGAAATGACAAAATTATAGAGATGGAAAACAGAGGGCCGGATGCCAGGGGTTAGGGAGGGTGGCAAGCAGGCAGGCATAACTATACAGAAGCAGCCTGGGAGGGAGGTGGTTGTGGTGATGAACTAGTTCTGTATGGATTGCAGTACTGGTTACATGAATCTACACACTGATGAAATGACATAGAACTAGAGACACACTGTACTCGCGTAAGACTCCTGGTTTTGATAGTGTACTATAGCTATGGAAAACATAAGCATTGAGGAAACTGGGTGAAGGGTACTAACAACTTCTCTGTACTCACTTTGCATCTTCCTGGGAATCTACTGTTTAACAATAAAAAGTTAAAAGACATACAAAATTTTAAATTATAAAAATGTATTCATCATCTTATATTTTATCAAAATTACGGTTGAATGCATTTATGTCTTAATTATAGGAACAAAGAGTGATGACAGTGGGGCTGCCTACAGAAGGACCTTCTTTGCTTCATGTCTGCCTTTCACAGCACGACCATGAAGGGGGCCACTGTGGAGAAACACCCCAGGGTGCCATCAGTTCTTCTCAGGGTCCCACATGGCCTCATCCTTGTGGATTTCCTCCTGTCAGATCCTCGTTTTGGCAGTGGCTTTGTATGTGTCTGTGACAGTTCTCTATCATCATATCCATGAACTTCATGAAATTCCCCAGCCTTAGACAACTTTGCAGTTTGTACTTTCAGTTTCATCGGCTCAGGACGAGCCTGGCAGGAAGACTGACAGGTGGGACGCAGGGATGCTAGAGCTAACTGGCAAGGGGCTTAGGCGGGGACTGGTTCTACAGGTAAATATGTTTTCAGTGGCATATATTTCTGTGATGGTGTCTTTTGCTCCCCGAAGCCATGGAAAGCAGGAATTGAGCCTTGTTGTTTAATTTGGGGACCAGAGTTGGGTGACGAGCTCCTGCCCTCTCGGCTCTGTTTATCCATGCAGGCAGCCCTGCTTTTGATGTCCCCAGGTTCACGCTGGGCTTAATGACCTCCCTTCTCATCCAGCTCAGGCCCAAGGTCAAAGGGCAAGCCCTGGTTCTCCATCCCCAAGGCTTGTGGGAAGATCTGAAACCATGAAAGCCCACAGTGGTTTTCGTGAAGCCTCAAAATGAACGGTGCCATCAAGAAACAGAGCCAGCAGAGTGCTGGGGAGAGGGGAGGTCCGAGCACAGAGAGAAAGAAGGTCTGTTGAAATGGCAAGACCAGGAAAAAGGGAGGATTGGGAGGTTCTGCGCCCGCAGCAGGCAGAAGCCAAATACATACACTGTCACCCTCTGGAATCTGAAGCAGGCTCTCCTGGACTTCTTGGCTGGAGAGGGAAAGACCCATATAATTTTCCAGTTCTGCCAAGTTTGGGTACAAAACTGATAGGGAAAGAAGGAAGAATAAATGTGTCATTAGAGGACATGTGCTTCCCTATGCCTGCCTGGCTCCCCTGTGGCTGCTCATTTTTATTAAGAAATGGAGCCTGGGAATGGTATTTATTTCCAAGACTGTGGGGTATCCCCAGGAACACTCACTGATGAGCGCTCCTCAGAGGGCCCAGGTGCAGGGTAGGACACCGAGTCCTCATGCACCACTTTGCTATTCAACTCCACTGACTTTATTTGACACCCAGAAACCTCTGCATCCCTCAGCGAATGGTTCCCACCAGGACTGGCAGGGTCCTAATCCCTTCTTATAAGGATTTGTGTCCTTATAAGAAGAGACAACAGAGGGCTCATGCATGCGCTCTCATGCTGTATCTCTCTCGTGTTCTCGTTTTCTCTCTCTCTTTTAAGCAAGTACACTGAGGAAAGGCCATGTAAGGACTCAGCCAGAGGGTGGCCATCTGCAAGCCAGGAAGGGAGGCCTCACCAGAAACTGAATTGGCCAGAACCTTGATCTTGGGCTTCCAGCCTCCAGAGCTGTGGGAATATACATTTCTGCTGTTGAAGTCATCCAGCCTATGGTATTTTGTTATGGAAGCCTAAGCTGAATAAGGCAAGTGGGGTTCTGGCCCCTTCTCTCTTTGAGCCGCTATCTGCCGTCCACTTCTTCCCCACCTGCCCCCACCCCAGGCCAGCCATAGTTCCAGCAAGGAAGTCTGACAAGTGTGGTATTTCATTCCCGGGGTCACATGAGATTGGATCACCAGAATGGTGCTGAAATGCTGATTTGAGGTGACTCAAATCGTTTATATAGACAGAGGCCCCACAAATGATATCACATCCTCAAGGCAGCCTTGCTGGGGGCATCAGAGAAGCCATAGCTTCCCTAACTTGAGCTGGGTTTGGAAGGATAAACAGGGGTTCACCAGGCAGTCAAGGAGGGAGGGGAACAGCATGGGCACAGGCTCTGGGAGGTGAGGTGACTCAGCCCAGGTCACCCAGGCAGTAAGAGGTGGGTGGCAACTGGAAGCCTGGTCCTCTCTTCCCACCATGTTGAGTCCTTAACCCTGGAGCCTCCCATACCTTTGGCATTGCCAAGCTTCCCTGATGATCTCTTCCCTGAAAGGACTTGGCACCCAGGAGCCCCTCATCCCAGCCCACTCACCTGGTGGTGGGGAAATGGCTGTTGCCTGGACTGGCAGGGCTGGCATCTTGGGTGAGGCTCTGACCTGGGCCTGGGGAGGAGCAGGGAGCACTGGTCAGCTGTGGCCAGGACCCCAGGAACCCCAGAGCCTGGAGCTCCATGAGGCCAGGGTCTGGGCATTAGGGGTGTGAGTGGGCCCGGGGTGTGGGGGGAGTGTGCACCAACCCTCAGGGCTCAAGATCACGTAAACGTGGCCTCCGCAGATGTGTCTTTTCCTGGGAGGAAGTTCTGGGGGACTGTGACCCACCCTATGTCACAACCCATTTACTGCCTGCAACAGGCAGAACATCAAGGCCCATCTCCCAATCAAGTTCTCAGCTGAAAAGTCTCCATTTCTCAAAACCCACTGGAACCACAGAGTGCTGGGATGGAGGAGGAAGGGGGCTTCTGGGGGCTAAGCAGACCAATGCCTATGCCCACTAGTCTTGTTTCCTCTGAAAGCCTGCCTTAGAGCATGGAGCCCGCCCATCCTGGAGGGAGGGAGAGCTGGGCCTGGGCAGGACAGAGCAGGCATGAGAGAGGCATGCGTGCGCTGCTTGGTCTTTTCTATTCTTGCTGTAACGCCATTGGCATTGCCCCCTGGATGTCTTCTCTGCCCAGCAGGCCCTGCAGTGGACACCTACATGCCCTGAGGCCTACGGGAATCTCCAAGTGGCCCCAGTACCCAGCACCTTCCAGGGTAATCCCCAAGGTCCCCTTCAGGGAATCCAGGCCAATGGGGCCTGGCGACTTACCTGAATGGCTTGGTCCACTTTTAGGTCCTCTAGAGATGGGTACAGGGATGACATGGCTGATTCTCAGAACACCCTGCAGAGTGCAGAGGGTGGGGAAGGATAAGGATGCAGCTGATGCCCCCTTGAAAGGAGGCACAGACATCCGCAACAGCAAGCGGGTTGGAACTTAATATTCAAACAGAAAGGCAGCAGGGCACTTAGAATGCCTCCCCGAACTCCACCCCTAATCCCCTGTCGATATTTGAACTCTACTGTATTCCACTCATCTCCAGCCTCACTGTCAACTTTTAATCTTGGCCACAATGAAGTAAGACCAGTAGGAAATTTATAAAGACTCTCACACAAACTGTAGCAGAACTTAGACACTCAACAGGGCACTGCTCCAGAGGGAGGAGGGAATGGGGGGTGGAGAGGCACCATGAGCACTTATTTACTAAACACCTTCTCATTGTCCCAGGGAGAATCAGCAGGACCTCTGAGCAAGGTGCCCCGAGAAAGTGAAAGGAATGATGACCTCTTAAGAAATGTTTTATTCCCTTCCTGACGAAATGTGGGGAAGGAGCAGTCTGCCTTTCTGGGTTCCTTCCCTTTACTCACTAACCACTGGCTCTGTCACACCTCCAGGCTTCGCTGAGGCAGTCCACTCCAACTGGAGCCCCTGCCCAACCTCCTTGTCACCCTCGGTTCCTGTGGGACACGCCTCCCCTGGCTCCCAGGCAATACGGTCACTGCCCCTCCCACCCAGGACCCTGCCCTCCGGGACAGCTCCGGGACAGCACCGGGCCAGCCTCTTGCTTGAACTCGCCACTTGTCCTGACTGCAGTTCTGAGGGGTAAAGGTGTGTCCTATTCACCCCACTGAACTCACATGTGATGGGTACACATGATAAAGGAATGCCCGCTGGTGGCACAGGAAACTGAGGGTCCTGTGCCTGAGCGATGTGACTCCAGGCTTCCCAGGATCAGATCCGCTGGGCACCTCCCTGAGTGACCACAGGCACGCCGAGGACATACTCATCCATCACTGCTCCTTCTCCTCCCTCTGCACCTGCTGCCTTGACCCCTGTGTCATCCTTGGCCCCGCCCCCACTATCCCTTCTTGTCTGTCATCAAATCCCATCTCTCCCACATCCCGTGTTGTGCAGGTCCCCATCATCTCCCTGGCCCTCTCCAGGTGCCATAACACCCTCCAAACACACTGCTGCCTCCCCTCCTGCCGTCCTGCTGCTCTCCAGACAGCAGCCACCAGGCCCTTTGTGTACACACTTGGGATGTCATGCCCTGGCTGAAAGCCCGCCAGTGGCTTCCCTGCCTTGGGAATGTACTCTCCTTAAAGAGGCTCACAGGGCCTTCACGATTCCACCAGAGATTGGAACTGGTGGGCCCAGGGCCAGATGGAAATAGATTTTATTTGACCTTGTGGAGTACTGT
The DNA here is from genome assembly GCF_000001405.40 of Homo sapiens. Lineage (NCBI taxonomy): Eukaryota > Metazoa > Chordata > Mammalia > Primates > Hominidae > Homo > Homo sapiens. The sequence continues at coordinate 1,321,793 of NC_000020.11, forward strand.
AAACGTTCAGATTAGCAGCTTAAACACAAAGCTCAAGGTACTGGATTTAATAATCGAATTTCCCACTGCTCCCAAAAAACAGGAAGCTTTGGCAACCCTAGGCTATAGCAGAGTAGCTACAATTGAGTAGCAGCAGACTCCAGGGTGACCCAGTCCACCATCCTCTATTGGCTGTTACACCCAGACCATTGTACTCACTGGTGCCAAGTCCCAATAGATATTTGTTTGCAACCCTAGTCTACCTCTCCAGCTTCATTTCTTGCCTTACGTCCTTTCAGCTGCTACTTTCAACTCCAGCCACAATGAGCTACTTCCACGTCCTTGCATGTGATTCCCTCCTGTCTCTTTTGCATGTGTTATTCCTTCTATCTGGAATACCCCTCCTCTCCCTGCTCCTTGCTTGGCCAACTCCTAATAATTTTCAAGTCTCAGATCAGGGAGCTCCTCTTACAGGAAGCCTGCTTTGATTTGTGCTCCCCCTAGCCCCTGCTCCATGTCCTACTCCTGTTGAGTATTCACCACTCTTGTGGTTGCCTCTTTACTTGTCTGTCTACCTCCTTAGGAGTTCCAAGATGGCAGGAACAGGGGCTTCTCATTTGCTGTGAAGCCTCTAACCCCTAGCATGGAGGCTAGCTCAATAATATTGCCAGAAGCAACACATTCTACCTGGGCTTCCACTTTTCTCCTTGTAAAGTAAAGCTCTAGTATCCTAAGAACACCCACCTTCCTGGATGAAACAAGGACCAGAAGTCCCAAATGTGCCTCTCACAGTCCTGTTTTATTATTATTATTATTTTGAGACAGAGTCTCACTCTGTTGCCAAAGCTGGAGTACAGTGGCGCGATCTTGGCTCACTGCAATCTCCAACTCCTGGGCTGAAGCCATCCTCCCACCTCAGCTTCCCAAGTAGCTGGGACATAGGTGCATGCCGCCACACCTGGTTAATTTTTGTATTTTTTGTAGAGACAGGGTTTCAGCATGTTGCCCAGGCTGGTCTTGAACTCCTGGGCTCAAGCAATTTGCCCGCTTCGGTCCCCCAAAGTGTTGGGATTACAGGCCTGAGCCACTATGCCCAGCCTTTTGTTTTTAAAATCTGAATTAGTGCCAATATTTAAAAATCTGGAAACACAAAATGCGTCACTTCTTACTTGGATTGAAAAAAATATAAACATTTGGCAAGGCAAGAGCTGGAATAGTGCATGGCAACACTCACCCGGCTGAGTCACAGCCTACCTCGCAAATGGGGCTGTACGTGCTTTCCTGTTTCCGCAAGTACCCATCAGCCCTTCACTGATTTACGTTGCCTGCTTGGTTCCTGGAGGCAGCCAGTTCCAGACCCTGCCCTAGCCTGGCCTTTGGGGTAGAAATGACCATCCCAACAGGACAGGAATTTCCTGGGAGGGGAGGGAGTCTGGCTCTGACTTCCTTTAGACCACCTGGGGGAAGAGACCCCTTTGCTTATAGCCTTCCCCACTGTGTACACACACTATGAGATTTTTAATCTTGGGACAGTCCTGAGCAGCTATCATCTGCCAAAACATGACCTGCCACCAGGACCACGCATGAACAGCAGATGCGAAAATAAGCAGCCACTCCTGCCCTGATTTTCCTAACATTTAACCAGTAGAGCACTTATATTTTTGTCAGCTGTCCCCTGGGAGAGCAGGGAGTCAGAGATCCATTTCCTGGAAATCACTCCCGGGCCAGATCACATAACCCTTTTTCTGTGTCTGAGATCCTTTCACCACTGCCACCTTCTCTGGATCCCATCTTAGTGCTGGGATGCGGGGAAGTGAGAAAACAGGTACAGTCGTTCCTTGGGGTAGGTTCCAGGACAATGCCCCTCACTCCCCATCCCTCGGATACCAACATCCACAGCTGCTTATGTCCCTTACATAAAGTGGCATAATATTTGCATATAACTTATGCACATTCTTCTGTATACTTTAAATCATCTCTAGATTACTTACAATACCTAATGCAATGTAAATGCTAAACAAAGTTATATTTTATTTTTATTTGAATTTTTGTTGTTTTTTTTAATTTTTATTTTTAAATATTTTCTGTCTACAGTTGGTTGGATCCATGGATGTGAAACCTGGGGATAGGAAAGGCATACTGTATCCCCTGCCTTGTAGCAGCTCACAATATAATGGGGAATGGTTCCCTGCCAGCGAACATGCTGTGTTTCGTTCAATCATTCAAAACATTTGAGTGTCCACTGTGTGCCAGACGTGCTGGTCCCTCTGCTGTGCACATCATCCTCCTTGGTGTGATGCTCCTTCGAGGCTCAGTTCAGATGCTACTTCTCTGCTTGGCTTTTCCAGACTGCATGATACCCAGGCTGCCTGGCTGGGTCTTCCCATGTATTCCACCCCTGACCTGTACTGCCCCTGTTGCCAAGCTATTTATCAAATTATGTGATTAATATCTGGGTATTTTCTTACACTGGACCTCACTCATAAGGGCAGGAGCTCTGTCCCGTTCACACACGATCCTTCCCCGCCACGGCACTGCCCAGCACACATATGCTAGCAAAAATTATTTGACTGAATAAATCAGTGGTTTTCCAAGGAACAGATTGGAAATTTATGTGGGCATTTTTGGGTGTCACGAGACTGAGGGGACAGTCATATCCCTGTCGGGGGTGGGGGGGGCAGGGATATGAAACTCCTGTAATGGATGGGACAGTCCATTACAGTCACCATAACAAATGGTCCTGTCCCGCACAACTTTCAGATATCCTGCCAAACTTTCAAGTAAGCCAAAAATCCGTTATAATTGGTTGTACATACAATCACAATGAATTTTTCCCTAGTTTTAGTACACACTAGACTGTCTGGAAATGCATATATCAGGTTGGTTGTGGGGAGTTACACTTTGCTCACCATTCTGGAAAATCGCTGCCCACCCTGCTCCCCACGGGTGAGTCACCCGAACAGCATGCTCACGTCTGTGTACATGTGTAGCTGTCACAGTGACTCCGCGCTTTTATATAAATATATTTAGCCTTTGACTCAAGATGTCAGATATAAACTGTTGGCAAAATTCAGCTGAATATTGTCTTCTAGTAAACCTAAGCTGATTCCTAAGTTGGGTACAAGCGTGATCGGGTGTAAGCCAGCCTCAGCTTTTACAAAGTGAAATGCATATTCTTTTATTAGAAATTACTTTCATGTCCCTGCCTTCTCCTTATAAACAAAGGGCATCATATTGATTTTTTACCCGGGGAACCATCACCTGGGCTGCAGCCTCAGGACGAACCTGTGCCTTCCCTCTGTCTCAATTTCCTGCTTTGGGAAATAGGAGCCACAAGCCACAAACTCCATCCACCGCGCCACAGGAGCGAGGTCCAACGCAACGGTCCCTAGGGCCTGCCTCCAACCCAGCCTCAGTTTCCTATCTGTCACATCGTTCTATGATCTCGAAATGACTATAACCCCTTTCTTAGCCCCAAACCAGCCGGAAGCGACATCTTCCGGTTGCTACAGGTTACGGCGGTTGCTATGGGCTACGGCGCCTGCGCAGAAACACCGCCAAGCGACTCAGCAACTTCTAGAGCGCATGCGTTTCGCCCACCCAGGCCCGGGCGCGGTTAGGGGTGACTCCCACGATCCCTAGCGGCTGCAGAGTGGAACATGGCGGCCTCCTTGCCGCTTGCGTTACCAGAGTCCACCCGGCCTCGTGCTTTCTCCGGGCGCCCGTAGCTGGCGCCGGCATCCACAAAAATAGATCAGGTAAAGCAGCAGAGTAAGGCATAGGAAGACTTGGTCGGGCTCCGCGGCCCCTCTTTACCGGATTGGAGGCTGCGCGGGTGAAATCGAGCTTTAAACTCCCCTGGCCTCGGAACACCATTTGTAGCCTCTGAAGGAGGAGGACTTATAAGATTCTGTACTAAGGCAGCCGTGGGAAGGGAGGAGAACCAGGTCGGCCCGCGCGCTCCCGGCTGCTTTTGCTCTCCCTTTGGTTTCGAAAGCGTCAAGTCCCAAGGTATTTCCTACCAATTGTGACGTCACCCTTCCTCCCCCGTTTCTCACCCGTTTCTTGTCTGGCCGTGACTTCTGACCCAGTGTTGAGCTAAAAATGCCCCGCCCCACCCTACGCAGATTCACCCCGCGTCCCACCCACCAGTGACTGAGTGACTGGGCTTCTGCTGCCTAGGGAAGGGTTCTTGGCTTGGCCGGGCAAATCAATTCCCACAGCAAAATCAGACCGAAAGCCTGTTATGAGGGACTCAGGCAGTTGGATGTGGCGTATAGGAGGAAGGCTAGGGCAATCAGGAAGGTCTCCTGGAGGAAGGAAGAAGACCCTGACTGGGCCGTGTAGGATGGATGTTCAAGTGGGAAGAGAGTGTGCTATTCCAGGGACAGGGAGGCCCAGGCCTGAGAGTCCAGTTGCCTTCTGGATCCCGTTTACCTCGCAGATTATCCAAACTGGACTCGTGATTTTCCCCAGCTGTGCCGCGCCTCCCCAGCGGTCTCACTGAATCCACCCATGGGCTATGTCAGAAATCTGGGAGTTATCCTCAGCTCCTCCCTTTCCCTTCTGAAGCCATACCTACTTCTTGCCCTCAAATCTCTGTGACCTGACTTCTGGTAATGTTTCCATTCTCACCATCTCATTCTTCTCCACACTTATCATGAAGTTCATTTATTCCAGACTACTTTAGGTTGAGTCCTAAAAGTCAGCCTGCTAGTTCATGCCTCCATGCTTTTGCAGGTGCTATTCCCTCTGTCTTAAGAGTCATTCATGCCTTCTCTCTTTTCCTTGTTGTGAACTCTTTTTCCTCCAATTTAAAGCTTTCCCCCACCTGTACGCATGGAGATTGGCAAGCCTCCCTTCTCTAGACGACAGCATTTCTTGTATTTGCCTCTTCATCATATATTCCACAAGTGTTTGTTAATCACCTACTATGAGCAAGGCCTTCTGCATTTCCTAGGTTGGATTTCCACTGTGCTGTGTTTGTTTGCTCATCTCCCTCACTGGTCAGGAAATGTCACTCATTTGTTAACCCCCAGTGCTGAGCACAGTGCCTGGCACACAACAGGCATCCCATTACTATTTCTGAAAGGAGTGGAAAAGCAGGCACAGAGAGAAGAGAAAGCCTGATATCCTAAATATACAGTCTTTCTTCCCATGCCTGTCTGTGTTTGCAGTCAATAAGTAGAAAGTCTTTCGAAGAATAACCTGGGCCTGGAAAAGGAGAGAAACCATGGCCCTAACGAGTTAGGTTGAAAGGCTGCCTGGCTCCTATAATCTGACAGTGGAAGTTTGCTCAGTTCTGTGCTGATGGCTTCCCACAAGTAATTGGTTCCTCCGAAAGGAAAAGAACCCACCTAACCCCTCTCTCTCAGAGGAATTTTCCTCTCCCACAGCCCTTTCCAGATTTCCATCCCTGAGCTTCTGTACTTTTTGATATAAGCAATAACAACACCCACAACAAACCAATAGCTGGGCTTCGGAGATCAGCAGGGCTGACAAGGGGACTTCAGCCCCCATCTTTGAACTTAGAGTGAGAACACTCTTTGGAACACTTTGTTCCAAAGAGCTGAAGTGATGGAACTCCCACTCGTTCCTGTGGACAGCTCATCCGTCCTTTACAAGACAGTGCGCGGGAGGGAAGCGTGGGTTAGAGTGTCAGAGGAATAGCTCCTGGAAGGCCAAATTAGCCCAGGGATGTGGTGAGTCGGAATAGAAGAAGCTGTTGCTAGGCCACCAGCATGTACCCCCACTCCTCCTCTCAGTGCTGCACTGCCTGCTGGGGAAAAGCTGTGACTTCCTCAAGCAGACACGCCTGAACCCAGGCCCAGGCAGGGCAGGGTTCAGACTGACTGCTTCTGACTTGTGAGAGCACAGCATAGGCAAATCCCCTTTGAATGTCATTTCTTCCTTTGTAATCTGGATAACAATAGTTGCATCACAGTTGTCTGGAGACTGAAAGATTTTTAAAAAGAGTTAAGGTGTATATGGAAAGCATTTAGCACAGCACCTAGCACATAATAGGCATTCAGTAAAAGTTAGCTGTTTATTCATTGTTTCAGCGCTTACTTACTCAGCACCTGCTAAGTCTGAGTACTGTTCTAGGTATCAGCAGTGAAGGAAAGAAGACTTGGTCCCCAAATGTACTTTCTTTGGGGGAAGAGCTGGATAAATAGGCTTTGTGACTCTGTGTGCTGTGTTAGATGGTGGGAGGCACTGGAGAGAAAGAGCAGGACGGAGGGTCATGTCAGGAGGTTCAGAAGCCTTGCTGGCTGGGTGGGGTGACATTTGAGGAAAGGCCTAATGGGGTGGGCACGGCCATTGCAGAGCCTCTCAGGTGGGAGTTGGTGTTGTGTTTAGAGGACATCTGCCAGTGAGAAGCCAGTTGTGCAGAGAGGGAGTAAGGAGGAGTAGTGGGGAGGAAGCTGGAGAAGTGAGAGGGGCCAGATCCTGGAGGGCCTGGAGGTCATGGTGAGGACTTTGGCATTTACTGTAGTGAGATGGGAGCCACTGGGGGATTTGTAGCAGCAGAGTGCCAAGGTCCAAGGGTTATTTTGACAGGCCTCCTCTGGCTGATGTTTGGAGGATGGGCTACAGGGCAGGAGTGGGAGCAGGAGCCCAGGTGGGAAGTGATGGTGGTGGAATTGTCATGAGCTTGGGCCACTGTACGTGAAGCTGCCTGTCCAGTGCTCGCCCAGCCCATACCAGGCTCGTTTTCTGCCCCATTTTCTGAGACCCTGCTGAGGAGGGCATGCACTGGCTCCTGTGTCCAGTATGTCCTTCCATTCTCCTGACTTTGTGGGCTATTTTCAGTCTCCAGATGAAGAAACCAGTTCTTAGAAAGGTGAAGCCCCTGGCGCAGTTCCCCAGCAGGTGTTTCAGTGCTGTGGCAGGAAGGTTTTTTGATAGAAACAGCCTCAGGCCAGAGAAGTCGGCCTGAGCTGTGGATTCCTTGGGAGAAATGGGCTTTTTGCCTGCCTGCAGCCTCTGGTTTCGGCTGGAATTGGCCTTTCAAGGAGCAAAGTGTGGATCTCATCTCCTTGAGCACAGTCATGGGCAGTCAGAAGGCATCGGGGGCCCTCATGATGTCTGGGTGAAGAAAATCACTCAGCCCTTAATCAAACTTGGTCCAGGGCTGGGATCAGAAGAAGAAACCCCACTTCACACTTGACTGCTTGGAGTGAAGCACTTCGAAAGGAAGCTGCCTGGGAAGTCCCAGAAGGGAAGGGGCAGGGAGGGAAGGGGACAGGGTGAGAGCAGGTCTCACTCATCCCAATCCCAGCCAGGATTGGGTCAGGGCCCCCAGCGCTTACCTGCAGGCAAGGTGCTGCTCCACGACCTTCTCCAGCTGCTGCCGCTGCTGAATCTGTTTCCCTCCCTGAAACGTAGCCCTGTCTCTCAGCTGGCTTCCTGATCTGGGAAGGGTGGTGCCTGTCCCCTGTTCAGCTGACTCACCTTGGACTGGGATGGGCACAGGTGAGGGCTGTGGCTGGGTAAACAAGGCAGGTTGCCAGCCCAGAGGAGGCCTTTGGCCTTAGTCTGGATTTGGAGGTGGGATTAAGGCCCTCACAGCTGCTGTTCAGACGGTTATGAACCAAGACTTCTTGGCCTTTTCTTAAATAGCTCTAAATTTGGGTTGGACACCTAGTCCTGCTGATCGAGGCAGTTGGCTAGAGGGCGGTTTGTGATAGGTATCTAGGGGTCTAGGCCAGGATATTAAAAAGTGGTCATATCCTGTGACCCAGCATTTCTTCTAGGAATTTGTTACAGTGGAGTCACAGGGCCCATCCATCACTGCTGCTTCTAGTAAGGAAAATGTAGAAATCCCAAATGCCCATCTCTGTGGTCTGCTTGAATAAATCATTGTCTGTGGAAGATCACAGAGCTATTAAAGTCACTTAAGGAAGAAGGTATGAGGAAACATTTCTGAGATTCTAGTGAGATGTTGAAAAATCAATATTGTGAATCTCTTCTTGCATTTTGTTTTCATTTTTTGTAAAGTGGATGTGCGTTGAAAGCAGTCTAGGAGGACATACGCTAAAATGCTGAGTATCTCTGAATGGCAGCATTGAGGGTGAGGTTTTCAGTTTGTACTTTTGTGTGTTCCAAGGTGGTTTTTTTTTTTTTAAGTTAGCTTTTGCTCTGAATGCTCATGACTTTTGTAAGGGGGAAGCAATTAAGTTTGATTATTTTAATGGGAATTTAGAGTGGTTGTCTCTTGGGAGCAGACCTAAGGAGCTGTGTGCTGAGGTGGAGATTTTTTTTTTTATGGCACATTTTTGGTGTCTTAAATTTTGAAAAGTTTAAATGTACTACTTATTCCAAAAATAATTATATAAATTTGAACAGAAAAGGAGGAAGAATTTAGTTTAGATCCTGGTGGGTTTGGTTGGGTGAGGGTGCCTGTCGCACTGGGTGCCTGGGGAGGGACGAGGGACTCGTGTGCTGGGCAGTCCCATGAGGATTGACGCTGTACACACTCAGGGTGTGTCAGTATCTGGGCTGCTTCCTGGGCCAGGCAGGCCTACGTCACAGTTCCCATGACCCACCTGGCAGAGTTGCACTAGCCTTGGGTGTCAGATCTTGTGCCTGCCAATGAAGAGCTTACAGCCCAGAGTCCCACACAGGAAACACACAATAGGAATAATAACAAGAAAGACATTTGCCACTAATTCAGCACTTACTCCCAGAGAGCACAGAGATTCTACCCCTGGCACTTTAAAGGCATTATCTCAATGGCTTCTCATGCCATCCCTGCAGAGTAGGTGTGACTCACACCATTCCTCCAGGTGGGGACACTGAGGCACAGAGGCAAAGTTTCTCTCTCAAGTTAGCTGGAAAGTGGGCCAAGTTCATGTCTTCTCTTCTATGGGACATACTGTTTCAGAAAGCTGAGGTGTGGGGCAACCTCAGAGTAAGCTGTGTGGGCCTGAAGCTGAGGTAACGTGGGTGATGGACCCACCTTAGGTCAGGTGTCCAAGGCCAAAGCAAAGTGGAAAATAGAGATCCTAACTAAACCAAGCCACTCCTCCCCCACCTCACTTCATTCAGTCATGACCTGAAAGGGCCTTTATAGAAGAGGGAGGAGGAAGCAGGCCCTTCCAGGTAAGGGGCTTGCCTGTGGTCCCAGCATGTCAGCATGGAGCCCAGGTCCCCTAACTCCCACCTATTTAATACCTACAGGGACTCTCTTTCTATTCCCTCTTTGGATAGTTGCCACCCATCACTGACTTCCAGCCACCTGGAAATATCTTTCATTGGGCATGCCCTTGCTCGAACTCTTCAGTGGCTCCCTCCTGCTTCAGGGTCTGGGCTAAACTCCCAGGGCTGACATGGAGACCTCCACAGCCCACTCCCTTTATTACCTCCTCAGCACTCCCCCAGCACCTCTGCCTCAGCTGGACTGGGAGCCCCACCATTCCTGCCCCACTGCACACCCACTTCCTACCTGCCCTGACTCCATACCTTTGCCTGTCCTGCTGCTGCCCCTGGAACACCTTCTCCTGCCCCCACCCACCTAGCCACATCCACCACTGAGCTCCTCCAGGAAGCCTCTGGGATCCCCCACATCCATGTGGCCTCTCCCGCCTCTGACTCTGGATCAGACGCTCCTGTTCCATTCTTTAATAATCATCATCTTGTACTCATGTGTACCTTTTAGGCTACTAGTTAGACCCTAAGTTCCCTGAGGGCAGGGCCAAGTTATTAGCTCTACAGTGGTCATTCTTTTGAGACAGCATTTCGCTCTGTCACCCAGGCCATAGTGCTGTGGTGCAATCATGGTTCACTGCAGCCTCCACCTCCCAGGCTCAAAGGATTCTTCCACCTCAGCCTCCCTATTAGCTGGGACGACAGGTTCACACTGCCACACCTGGCTAATTTTTTTATTTTCTGTAGAGACAGGGTTTTGCCATGTTGCCCAGACTGGTCTCAAACTCCTGGGCTCAAGCAGTCTGCCTGCCTGAGCCTCCCAAAGTGCTGGGATTACAGGTGTGAGACCCCACACCCAGCCAGTTACTCTTTTCAAAATAAGGAGTGGAACTGTGCTCTGACCAGACAATATTTCTGCTTTGTTATATATTTGTATGAACAAGTCTAAAACTTTGGGTGGCCAGTAAACAGCACACACTCAGAAACTCCCTGGTAGCACCCATGGCACCCTGAGTAATCAACCACTAATGTCCTTCCTGCTGGGCCCAGAGGCCTCTCCGGATCCTCTCGTCATAATGCTGCAGGCAGCTACCGTCACCTAGAGTTGGCTCATGAGGTGAAGTCTCCATGCCATCTGGAATGGGTGCTCCATGATGGCAGGGGCTTGTCTTAACCCTGAGGCCTAGTACTATGCCTGGCACATAGCAGGCTCACAGTAAATTTTTTTTTTTTTTTTGAGATATGGTCTTGCTCTGTCTGCCAGGCTCAAGTGATCCTCCTGTCTCAGCCTCCTACGATCCTCCTGCCTCAGCCTCCCAAGATCCTCCTGCCTCAGCCTCCCACAATCCTCCTGCCTCAGCCTCCTGAATAGCTGGGACCACAGGCGTATGCCACCACAGCTGGTTAATTTTTGTATTTTCTGTAGAGATGGGGTTTTGCCATGTTGCCTAGGCTGGTTTTGAACTCCTGGGCTCAAGGGATGTATCCACCTTGGCCTCCCAAAGTACTGAGATTACAGGCGTGAGCCACCACACCTGGCCTCAGTAAATATTGACTGAGTGAATAAATGCCCCTCCTAGAAAAGTCAATCACAGTTAGAAACTTAAATGGCTGACCCTTATTTAAAAGATGGGTTGGGCTGGGGCATCCGATCTGAGTCCCAGCTCTGTGATGTTGCACATGTTACTAAACCTCTCTGAGCTGTAGTTTCCACACCTACCTTCTTTATAGACTTATCCTGAAGACTAAATGAGGTAACCATGTGAAGTACCTAGGACACAGCTGGCATTTAGTAAATGTTAGTTTCCTACTTTCTCATGGCTACATGTCACAGAAACAGTCATCTGATTGGAGTGAAAATAGAGATGCTCTTCCCAGAAGAAGAGAGAATGTCGGCTGGGCAGAGAAGGAGCTGCTCTACACTCCAGCCCTCTGCATGGAATCTGGGTAGTGCAGCAAGACCCTGGCTTATGTCATCACAGCTTTGTTCCTACTGCTGAATTGAAATAATAACAGGAAGCGTAGCATTTATTGAGCTCCTGCACACTGGGTGCTCTGCTGGGCACTGGGCATACACTGATCTCATCTGTTCACCATAATTCCCAGCTTCAGAGTGAAGCACTTTGCCCAAGGCAACACACCCCAAGAGTGGTAAGGCCAGGCCTTGGCTCTGAACCTCTAGGAGTCTCCTACCCTAGTGCAGCTGAGTCACAGATTTCTCTTTAAGAAACCCACAAAGAAGTCCTTAGGTGGCAAAAATTTGATCACATGGCCACATAGAGCTGCATGGGAGACTGGGAAATGGAGGCAGTCTATTGTTAGCAGGTTCTGTGCCAGCCTCTACTATAGCATGCTGTGAAGCCCTGCCCTTTCTGGACCTCAGTCTCCGTATTTGGCCAGGGAAGAGTTTGGATGGATTTTCTCTGAGGTTTGCCCTAACGGTACTAAGGCCCCACAAAGGGCCAACTCTATTGCCACTTCCAGTCCCTCCTGTGGCGTGAACACCAAAGATGTCCACTATGAGCATTTGGTCTCCAAACACAATGTCCTTCATGCTATTTCTGAGCTCCATCTTGGTTTTGCTTTTTGGAGATGTGTGTGAGTTAAGGTAGGCCAGGTTATGCTGCAGCAACAAACAACCCTGAAATCTTGGTGGCTCCTAATAGGAAGTGTCATTCTCATGCACGCTACTACCCGTCAAGGGCTGGCAGGGTCCCCATGTCTCCTTACTCCAGGACTGGGGGTGATGGAGCAGCTGCCATCTCAAAGGCCGTCAGAAGCCACGGCAGAGGGAAAGAGATCTCTATCTGGCAATTAAGTGCTCCAGCCCAAATGACAGATGTCACTTCTCACACCTTGTTGGCCAGGTTACCCCACCTCCCAATCACAAGGGAACAGGGAGCTGCCATCCCACCACATGCCTGGAAGGCAAAGAGTAGGAAATATAGGAGGATGACATTAATAACAACCTCAGGCCTCTGTTCCAGAGTGTCTGCCAGCCAGCTCTGATCATCTGTGTCAGGGCAGGGGTAGCAGATGTGGCCTGGGAGGCTGCACCGAGCCCTGCTGGGACCTACATGGGGAGTGAGGGGCTGAAGAGATGGAAAGACGTCTGACATTCTGGAGTCTGGGGCCGAGGCTGGACAGCGCAACCTGCCACTGTAGGTAGAATTCCTATGTTGAAACTGAATCTCCAATGTGATAGTACTAAGAGGTGGGGACTTTTGGAAGGTGATTACGTCATTAGGGCAGAGATTAGGACTCTTATACAAGAGGTCTGAGGGAACTTGTTTGCCCCTTTACGTGACGATGCAGTAAGAAAATGTAATCTTTGAAGCAGAGAGCACCTTGATCTTGGACTTCCCAGCCTCCAGAATTATAAGCAGTAAATTCCTGTTAAAAAATTACCCAGTTTAAGGTATGCTGTTACAACACCCTGAATGGACTAAGACACAGTCCCAGGCAGGAGCGTTAGTTTCCACTTCTGCAAAATTGGGGCAGTATTCCCTAACCTGCAGAATTTTGATGAAGATGAAATGGATGAGTAACAGTGGGGAAACTTCTGTCTACTCCCAGCAGCCTTCTACGGAAGGTGGACTTTTCAGCAGAAGACTCTGCCCAGCTGAGCCCTATGCTGGATTTGGGTGGTCAAATTTGAGAGCAGGAGCTTGGCAAAGAGGGGCTTTGGGGAGGCAGTCAGTTTGGCGGGGGCATATTGTAAGACTGTGTGCTTACAAAAGCACAATATATTCCTAAGATTTCTTTGGGGTGACTTTATTTGGGACAGTTTTGGGGGAGTTGACGGAGGTGGGGGCACTCTGGCCCCTGATGCCTTCCCCCATTCAAACAGACTTGGGGGTTCCTGTGGCAATGCACAAGATGGGGGTGCAAAAAGGGGGCAAGAGAAGGAAGGTAGCATGATGGACAGAGGCTGGACCAGTATAGTGACCCCCAGGGAAGGTCCCCTGGGAGGGTGCAGGCAAGTAGGAGGGTACTCTGAGAATAGAGTCAGGTTCTGAAGCTGTTGCCTTCCTATGATGCAAGCCTCAGCTCCTCCTCCATCCTCAAATCTTCAGTAAACGCCCTCTGTTGACAGGACATTCACTACTGCACAGTGGGCACTCAGCTGCTGCTTTGTGTCATCTCGTGTCATGACATGTCATGTCAAAGCCAACCTGTGGACACACAGGTCCTCTCGGCTTCCCTCAGGTGGGGGTGGGGAGAAAGCAGGTCAAAAGCCCAGCCTTGGTGGGAATGTAAACCAGTACAACTGCTACGGAAAACAGTATGGAGATTCCTTAAAGAACTGAAAGTAGAACTACCATTCGATCCAGCAATCCTATTACTGGGTATCTCCCCAAAGGAAAAGAAGTCATTGTATGAAAAAGATACATGCACACACATGTTTATAGCAGCACAGTTGGCAATTGCAAAAATATGGAAACAATGTAAATGCCCATTAACCAATGGGTGGATACAGAAAATGTGGTATATATACACAATAGAATACTACTCAGCCATAAAACGGGACAAAATAATGGCCTTTGCAGCAACTTGGATGGGGCTGGAGGCCATTATTCTGAGTGAGGTAACTCAGGAATGGAAAACCAAATATCATATATTCTCTTGGGGTTTTTTTTTGTTCTTTTGTTTTTGTTTTTTGAGACGGAGTCTCGCTCTGTCGCCCAGGCTGGAGTGCAGTGGCATGCGAACTCGGCTCACTGCAACCTCTGCCTACCAGGTTCAAGCAATTCTCCTGCCTTAGCCTCCCAAGTAGCTGGGACTACAGGTGCGCACACCACCATGCCTGGCTAATTTTTGTATTTTTAGTAGAGACGGGGTTTCACCATGCTGGCCCGGCTGGTCTTGAACTCCTGACTTTGTGATGTTCTCTCTTTTAAGTGGGAGCTAAGCTATGAGGATGCAAAGGTGAAGAAGAATAATATAATGGACTTTGGGGACTCACAGGGGAGGGTGGGAGAGGTTGAGGGATTAGAGGCTACATACTGGGTACAGTGTACACTGCTCAGTTGACAGGTGTACCAAAATCTCAGAACTCACCACTAAAGAACTTACCCGTGTAACCAAAAACCACCTGTACCCCAAAACCTATTGAAATAAAAAAGCCTAGCCTTGGTCCTGCCCAGCGCAGAGAGACATGAAGCTATGACTTGGATTTACTCTTCCAAAAGCCTCCAATAGCCAGCCCTGATCTGCTGACACAGTTCCCCTTCTGAGCAGAGAAATGGAGGAGAAGGCAGCAGAAAGATGAGAAAGAATCTCCCATGAGATCAGGGGCTAGCTCATTAATCTAGGTGAGTATGCCATTTTGGAGATAGACAAACTGAGCCCTGGAGAGGTCAAATGACTCAGTAATGCAGCCAGACTATGGCACAGGCAGGGTGATGAGCCACATCTGCCTTCCTGTAGCCACCAGACAAGGGAAGCAGGGGCACAGAACAGTCACATAGCAATTCAGTAGCAGAGCCAGGATCCAGTGACCCCAAACCCTGGTCTCTCCCGACTGCTAGCCTGGGAATGTTGCCCAGCTCTTTCACCCACTTTTGGCCTTGCCTCTTCACCGCACCTGAGGATCCAGGGACCCCAAGCCCTGGTTTCCTGGCTGCCAGCCTGGGAACATTGCCCAGCTCTTTCACCCACTTTTGGCATTGGCTCCTCACCACACCTGTGCCAGTGGCTGGCTGGGTTACTCGGAGTCGTTTGACTCCTCCAGGGCTCAGTTTGTCTAATCTCCAAAATGGCATGTTCACCTAGATTGAATAGCTAGCTTCTAATCTCAGGGAAGTGTCTATCTTGTCTTTCTGGGGAGATTCTGGGTGTCAGATAGGGAGAGGCAGCATGACCTGAGAAATCTAAGCCCCAGACACTAGAGGCGGAACTGGTCCCCCCTGCATCCTGGCCGGAAGCAGCATTTGAAGCTGATCTTGAGCGAGACAGTATGAGGACAGCCATTGCCATTGTTGCACACATGATCTTACTCAACCCTCAGGTGGCCCTGTCGAGTGGGTTCCTTCGTTTTCTAGTTTTTCCATTGAGAAAACACAAGTAGGATTCAGTCTGAAGACTGGTAGTTCAGTGCTCCCAACAAGGGGCAGGAGGGGCCTGGCTGAGCACCCTGAGGGTGGAGTCGGGGCAGGTGCCAGAACACGGATGCTTTCCCGTCTGGCTGGAGCTGCTCCCGCTGTGTTCCGGAGCAGGGCAGAACAGGAAGGCAGGAACAATGGGCAGCCGGCAGTGGCGGGGTGCTGGGGTTCCTGAGCCAGGGGTGGGGAGGCTCAGGCCTGGTCACCACCAAGGCTGGGGGTGCAAGTTTCCTGTGCAAGAGACTAACAAGATTAGCCACTAACATTTTTGAGCACTTACTGTATGTCCGGACCCGTGTTAGACACTTTAGATGGATTAGCCTCATTTTACAGATAAACAAATTGGGGCACAGAGAGTTTAAATGAAATGCTCAAGGTAAGTAAGAGGTGAAAGATTTGAACCCAGGCAGACTGGCTTCAGATCCTATGCTCTTAACTACTATAACTTTATATGTGTATACATACATATATGATTATATGCATGTTATACATACTTTCTCATAATTTTCCCCTTTCACTTAATTTACCATTGCCAGTTTTCTGTGTCATCAATATCATCCTTGTTTACAGTGCTAACGTGCCGGGAAGACCTTGTCCATGTGTCCTGGCCACATCCCAGTCTGTTCTTCCCATGACCTGAGGGGTCTGGATTTCCACTGTTGGTGCTGTCATTGAGTTAAGGTGCGGTGCCTCTCGTTTAAACTGCTGATAACAGTGGTGGCACCAAGGTGTGGGCTGGGGGGTGCTTAAGCCCCTTTTAATCTCTATCATAATAACTCCCTTATCCAAATAAACACCATCGACATAAAATAATGTGCTTTTATGCAAACAGTACTTCAAGACAGGCCTCCCTCCCCAGCTCAATCATTGCTGCACCTAAGCATTCCCACAGAGAAGTCCCCCAGGTAGCCTGGCTGGTGGGTTAATGTCAGAGTGGTGCTGGCTCTGAACGCAGCTGTGGGAGCACTGCTGGTATCTTAGGATCCGGTGGGGTGGAGATTTGGAGCCCAGGAAGACCCAGCCTGACCTGGTGGTGGTGGCTTCAGAAAGAGCTGGAGAGGGTAGAGGCCCTTGCCTAGGGCTCTTACTGCATTGTATGTAAGATGAAGGCCACAGATTGGTGCTGTCAAGACTGGGAAGGCCTGTGGGACTCAGGACCCCAGGGTAAGACTGACCTGCCCCTCCTTTCACCTGAGACAGACTGGGAGATCCCAGGGCACTGGGGGCAGGGGAGCGGAAGGGGCTTGTTGAAAATATCCACCATGGCAGCTAGGAGAGCCTGCTGGAGCCGCTCCTCCGGGGGTGATGAACAAGCTGGAGGACCCCTCCTGGAACCCCCTTTTTGCCCTCACAAGGCCAGCTGGGAGCACTGGATAGGGAACGAGACACCTGAGTTTTGTGTTCTAGTTTCATCGCTGCCTGTGGGTGGCTATGTGGCCCTGGGCAAGTCACTCTCCCTTGGTAGCCTCTGGCTTCCCACCCCTACCATACCAGGGAACACCATGGACTCTCCCGTTCTGCCAGATGGTCTAACAAAGATGCTTTCCCTCTTGGGTCACCTGGGCTGGCAGGTGGGTGATTCAGAAGTCACCTTTCTGAACCTCCAACTATTATTACATATTAATATACATTTACATAATTACCTTCCAGGTATGGCCTTTGGGGGTCACCTGTTATCCACTTCCCCTTATGGTAGCTGTCCTCTATTTTCATCTGGGGAAGCCTCCTCTCCTCCACCTCAGCCATGTGCAGTGGATGGAGTTGACTCTTCTTCTGGCTCCAAAAGGGGAAGAGAGGCTTGCGGATCTGTGCATTCCATTTCCCAAACCTCAGAGGAATGGGGGTTGGGTGGGGCATGTGACCCAATTCCAGCCCATGGCATCAGGCTTAGAACTGGTCCTGATTATGGAGAAGTCTGGAAGCGTCAAACCTGAGGGGATTTGAGGTTGGAGTTAACTGGCAGCCATCCTGCCCCCATGGAGAATGGAGCCATTGCAGAAAAGGCGGAGCTGGGGATGGAGAGAGAGACCCAGGGCCTCCTGATGCAGCTTAACCCCTCAAGTCCAGCTGTGCGTGAAGCCAACTGCTCACCCTTAGGCTTTTCAGGTACAAGACAATCAAATGCCTTTTTCACTGAAGCCAGTTTGAAGTGGGTTTTCTGTTGCTTACAGCTAGAAAAAGCCTGACTTTTGTTGATGTTACTTAATTCTATGCTGCCATCAAAGGTACGATGATTTTTTAAAGGAAAATATTAAATCTGCTTAATAACAGGTTATTTTTATTTTTATTTTTTTGAGAAGGTCTGGCTCTGTCGCCCAAGCTGGAGTGCAGTGCCGCAATCTCGGCTTACTGCAACCTCCGCTTCCTGGGCTTAAGGCATCATCCCGCCTCATCCTCCCAGCCTCCCAAGTAGCTGGGACTACAGATACATGCCACCACACCCTGATAATTTTTGTATTTTTAGTAGAGATGATGTTTCTCCATGTTGCTCAGGCTGGTCTTGAACTCAAGCAATCCACCCACCTCGGCCTCCCAAAGTGCTGGGATGACAGGCCTGAGCCACTGCACCTGACCTAATAACAGTGTTGTTTTTTTTTTAATTAAAAAGATGCAAATCAGGTTTCCCTTGTAAAAAAAACTGACACTAGTGTATTTTTACTTATAAAATTGCATACCACCATCTCCTTTGGTGATATGATCAAAGTTCTTCACATCTAGAGTCTAGACTGTGAGAAACAAACTCACCCGTCCAAACCCAAAGAATGGACTCAGAGACACGGAGAATAGCGGAAGTGAGACTTTTAATACAGTCTTGCAAGATCAGGTGTCTGGTGGGCAGGCATACCCCGCACAGTTACAACAAGCAATTTATCCTCTAGTGTGCAGGTCCCTCTCCTGGTTCCTCATAGGCTGAGTATTATGGAGACCAGCGTTGGCCAGGCTGGTCTCAAACTCCTGACAAGTGATCCACCCGCTTCGGCCTCCGAAAGTGCTGGGATTACAGGCATGAGCCACCGCGCCTGGCCAGGTAGGGGTTTTGGGTGTTTTCTTTAGGGTTGTCTCGGTGCATTTTGTTGCAGCCCATAATGCATTGCAATTATAGTCTGCTCAAGGGCTTTTTAAGTATTTGACCTATGACCTAGGTAGTCAGGCAAGCTGATAAAAGAATAGATAAAGTGAGCTATTTTGCAGGCTAGTAAATTTTCATTCTAGACTAAACTCTTAGGTTCGGATGAGAGCAACTAAGGGCACCCCAACAAGCAGGCTCCAGCTATTGAAGCAAGGGCCTAGGATATTCTGTCCTTCTGTAGCTGGCAGACCCAGGCCTACTTGAGGCACTTCATCTTGGAAATGGACCACCATTTACATATTTCCTACATAGACTTTGGAGGTGTTTAGCAATTTTTACTTTCCTTTTTCTTTTCTCTCTTCTTTTTTTTTTTTGACAGAGTTTCATTCTGTTGCCCAAGCTGGATTGCGGTGGCATGATCATAGCTCACTGCAGCCTCTAACTCCTGGGCTCAAGTGATCTTCCCATCTCAGTCTCCTGAGTAGCTGGGACTACAGGCATGCATCACCACATCCAGCTAATTATTTTCTGTAGAGATGGGGTTTTGCCATGTTGCCCAGGCTGGTCTCAAACTCCTGGACTCAAGTGATCATCCCACCTCAGCCTTCCAAGGTGCTGGGATGACAGGCCTGAGCCACCATGCCCAGCCTTCTCTTTCAATCGCATTGTCTGGCTAGCAGTAAATCAGTCTTCTGTATACTCAATATAATCTGTTATTTCCATGTGGCATCATTTTAAAAGTCATTTTAAGTGATAGGGAATCGGGTAAAATTCCACTGGACTTTATCACAGCCACCCAAACAAATGGATAGCAGATAGTGACAACACCTAACTCCCCCTCTGCCTGCTGGCTGGCAGATTTCTTGGACATCCATTCTCGGGCACACCCTCATTCAAGAAACTTTAAGATGGTGCTGATGGGGAGGTAGTGTGTGAGAATGAGTTACGATCATCGTTACCATTTCTTTGAAGCATTCCAAATTGCTAGCAAACTTGAAACAAATGCCCCTGGCTGAGTCTGGGTGTGTTGGGGGCCAAGTATATAATTGGAAGTTCTCTGGATTAATGTCTATATACAATGCTTATTACAGGTGGTTTTTAAATGTGCTAATATCATATTAAAACTTAACCATAACCACAATGATTGTTTAGAACTGAAGACTAACAGAAGGTTTTTTGGACTAATTTAATCACTGACTTTGAAATTGCCAGTGCAGTGATACTAAAAAGCAGACCTACTTTTGGTGGTTTTCTTGTCACCTTCAACTGTTCTGCAGACTACGTCCCCCTCATTGCCTGTACGAGGTGGGTCTCCCACTGCCCTATTGTGCTCAGTAAATGTTTTGATGATCATAAGGAGAGGTCCTTAATGGGCATCCCAGAAAGGAGTGAACGAGGGAGTGACCCGGGACAGGGAGCCATTGCTTCTGAGTCTTAAGCCTGATTATGCTATGTGTCCTTAGGGAAGCCATACCCTCTCTGTGCTTCAGATGGGTATCCTTTCCCTGCTCTGCTTAGCCTGGATGATGGAGATGTCAGGCCTTGGGCAGAAGTGAATGACAAATGCTTGCCTGCTCCAACCCTGGGCACCCACCTAGGAGTCAAACACATGCCGGTGCTGGGCCAGGTCAGCCTCATCTGCCCATCCCCTTCTCCTCTTGCTCCCCAGCTATCCTTACACCTAGCTAGGCCTTTTAATGCTTAGTAGGGGCCCCTCACGTGAAGGGGCTGATCTCTGATGCTCTCAAGGACCCCTGTTCCTGGAGTTGCCCCATGGCTGCCACTGGGCGCCTCTTCCCAGCCTGTGCAAAAACCCCTTCCCAGTGTCTCACTGCTGCACTGGCTTCACAGCCCCGGGCTGTGGTCCCAAAGGACATCTTCCAGTCCTGTCACTCAGCCATCCCCAGTGAGTTATGCTACAGCTGAGCTTGGCTAAAAGGCAGCCTCATTCCTGCCTGGAACTTCTGCTCCTTTCCCACTTTTAATCTGATGGCTGAGTCTGACTCACTGCAGGGCTGTGAGGACAACAGATGGCCCAGAAGAGAACAAATGCACACACACACACACACACACACACGCATGATATATACACCCCATGTTTCACATTACTTTAGCTAAGGGTAGTGAGATGGCCACAGAGCAAGAGCAGATGCAGCCAGTCATGGCCTGGCTTTTGACCTTCCCCAGTTCCCTGTGCAGTGGTTGCTACTTTCTCTGAGTAGGTAGGATCCTTCCAGAACAGAGTAAAAGGCTGAGTTCCTGCTATGCCACAAAGTCTTTTATATTCAGTTTCCATCACTTCCAGAAGAACGTACATAACCATGAAGGCCTGCCCTTGTAATGTTCACCAAGGTCGAATTTCCCTAGTTCCTAAAGCTTCAATATTACCATTCCAGTCTTCCCGTGACCCAGATAACTCTTTCAAGCTCATCTCGCCAGTGTCCTGAGTCCATTATTTCCATTGAGGGACCACCTCATATCCATCAAACATGACAGGAGAGGTCTGAATGCCATTGGTTGGCAGAGATTGTTTCTTCCCTGGTTCTCCCCTGTGAAGACTGAGAAGTGGTCAGTCTGCCAACATTGAGAGACAGCTCGGGAGGTTTTGTCTGCCTGGTGTATACAGAGGAGGCTGTGATGGGTCACATCTAATGTCTTTCCAGAGCAGAGAGGAGCCCATGATGGGGATGTCCCTGTCCTGACAGGTGAGGGGCAGGACACCCAAACACGTATGCAATGCGTACACTGGAAGTTAAGGTCCATGACGACGGGGACTCTTTTGTTTACTATTGTGTTATAGGACCTTAATAAATATTTCTTCAGTGAGTCACTGGAACCACACTTACAGTATATTAAAAATATGCATAGAACGGCCGGGCACGGTGGCTCACGCCTGTAATCCCAGCACTTTGGGAGGCCGAGGAGGGTGGATCACCTGAGGTCAGGAGTTTGAGACCAGCCTGGCCAACATGGTGAAACCCCGTCTCCACTTAAAATACAAAAAATTTGCCGGGCGTGGTGGTGGGCGCCTGTCATCCCAGTTACTCGGGAGGCTGAGGCAGGAGAAGTGCTTGAACCTGGGAGGCGGAGGTTGCAGTGAGCCGAGATAGCGCCATTGTACTCCAGCCTGGGGGACAAGAGTGAGACTTCGTCTCCAAAAAAAGCATAGAACAGCAAAATACTTTTTCACTCATTTTTTAGCAAACATTTAAAAGATGATAACATCCAGGCTGGGCATGGTGGCTTACACCCATAATCCCAGCATTTTGGGAGGCCAAGGCAGGTGGATCACTTGAGCTCAGGAGTTCAAGACCAGCCTGAGTAAAATAGTGAGACCCCATCTGTACAAAAAATACAAAAATTAGCCAAGCATGGTGGCACATGCCTGTAGTCCCAGCTACTCGGAAGGCTGAGGTGGGAGGATGGCTTGAGCCTGACAGGCAGAGGTTGCAGTGAGCTGAGACTGCGTCACTGCACTCCAGCCTGGGTGACAGGGCAAGGCCCTGACTCAAAAAAATAATAATAAATAAAAGATGATAACATTGTTTTGGTGATAATGCAGGAAAATATGCGCTCCTCATTGCTAAGTGGGCAACACTGCCACATATAGTGGCACGGGCTATGCACTGCACAACTGCATAATTGTAAGAGTGTTACCGGTGGAGGGTGTCCAGGTTCTTGGCGTCTTGAACAAATAATTGGACAAAACGCTCAAACAAAGCAAGGAAAGAATGAAGCAACAAAAGCAGAAATTTATTGAAAATGAAAGTACACTCCACAGTTTGGGAATGGACCCAAGCATAGGGGCTCAAGGGCCCCGTTACAGAATTTTTGGGAGTTTAAATACCCCCTAGAGGATTCCATTGGTTACTTCATGTATGCCCTGTGTAAATGAAGAGGATGAAGTAAAGTTACAAAGTCATTTACTTGGTGTATGCCTCATGGAGAGGATATTTCCTGTCATAGCTGAAGTGTGAATTGGCCTTATGTTCCCTGCCTCCAGACCCTATTTTCCTGCCTCAAGAGGAAGACCTGATGGAAGGGATTTTGATAAAATGTATCAAAAGCCTGAAAAGTGTACATACTTTTTGAACCAAGAGTTCTACTACTTCTAGGATTTAGCTTTAAGGAATAACTGTGAGGTGAATGAAGATTTAGCCAAGGATCTTCATCACATCGTTTATAGTAGTGAAAAAAAGTCTAGGTGATTAAAAATAGTGATTGACTAAAGAGTGTCACACACACACTCATATAGCAGATCGCTCTTCAGGAATTTAAATGACACTCCAAGAATAAATTTAATAACCCAGGCAAGTAGTGGCATATGCAGTAGAAACCCACTTTTAAAAGGTGTGGGTATATATATGTATATGAATTTTTATGTGTGTGCACAGGAAAAAAACCTAGAATAAACCTAGAATAAATAAATAAATCGGGGTGAAGAATTACAAATGCTAGTAATTTTATTGTTTTTGGTTTTTATCTATTAAATAATTTTTCCAAAATGAATATGCATTAGCTGCATGTTTTATAAAATTAAAAAAAAAACTTATTTTAAAAATACTGGAAGAAAAGACAATAATGAATTATTACAAGTTGTTTTGGAAGGGATAAGATTTTGAATTCTTCTATACCTCTCTTACTATAAAGCTGTAGTAATTTTATAATGGAAAAATAAACTTTTAGAAGAGAAATAGGAGATTTGGGGATCAAGTGGATAGATTAGCACATGCTAAAATCTATCTTTTTACTTGAAAAACACAAAAATGATAGAAAAAATTTTTAAATACATACATAAATATAAACATATACACTCATTCTCAAAATCTTTCTCGACCAGAAACCAAAAATAAAGGTCCCACTGTTGGAAGTAGGGATTGAACCTCAAGACCTGCGGGAGCTGGGTCTGGAAACAGGCTTTGGGCCTGTGGTAGCCAGCCTTCAGGATGGTCCCGGATGACACTTACCTCCTAGGTATTCATGCCCTTGTGTAGTCTCCTCCCACAGTGAATCAGGGCTGATCTGTTACTAGTAGAGTATGATGCAAGTGACAATGTGTGACTTCCAAACTAGGTCATAAAAGGCACTGCAGCTTCCATGTTGGTCTTTTGGATCACTGGATCTGGGGGAAACCAACCACTGTGTTGTGAGGACACGCAAGCAGTTCTGTGGAGGCTCACGTGGAGAGGAAAGAACCAGGGGACCAGCTACCTTGCAAATCAACCCTAACAACTTGGTTGATGACACAAAGACCACAAAGGAAAGAGTACATGAAGCAGGGCCCTTTGAACCTATGGAGCACAGTTTGGCACTATGTACCAATGACACTTGTTTTAATTAACAAACCAATATTGATACATTATTATTAACTATAGTCTATATTAAGGTTCTCTTTTTTTGTATTGTACAGATCTGTGGGGTTTTGACAAATGCATAATATTGTGTATCCACCATTACACTGTCATACAGAATAGTTTTTACTGCCCTGAAAAGCCTCTGTGCTCTACCTATTTAACCCTCTGCGCTCACACCAAACCCCTGGCAACCACTGACTGACCTTTTTACATTCCCTATAGTTCTGCTTTTTGCAGAATGTCATAGTAGAAATCATACACTATGTAGACTTTTCAGACTGGCTTCTTTCATGTAACAATATGCATTTGTTTCTTCCATGTCTTTTCTTAGCTTGGTAGCTCATTTCTTTCTGTTGCTGAATAATATTCCATTGAATGGATGTGCCAGACTTTGTTTATTCATTCACCTATTAAAGGACATCTTGGTGGCTTCCAGTTTCTGGCAATTGTGAATAAAGCTACTATAAATATTTATGTGCAGGTTTTTGTGTGGACATAAGTTTACAACTCAATTGGGTAAATATCTAGGAGTGCAATTACTGGATCATATGGTGCAAATATGTTTAGTTTTATAAGGAACTGCTGAACTCTTCCAAAGTAGCTGTAGCGTTTTGCATTCTCACCAGCAATGAAAGAGCATTCTGTTGCCAGCATTTGGTGTTGTCAGTTTTGTGGATTTTAGTCACTCTAAAAGATATGTAGTGAAATCTCATTTTAATTTGCAATCTCCTAATGACATATGATGTGGATCTTCATCTCTATGCTTATTTGTCACCTGCATATTTTCTTTAGTGAGGTGTAATTTTCAGACCTTTTGCCCATGTAAAAAATTAGGTTCTTTTCTTATTGTTGAGTTTTAAGTGTTTATAATTTTGAATACCAGTCCTTTATCAGTTAATGTGTTTTGCAAATAACTTCTAATCTTTGGCTTACCTTTTCATTCTCTTAACATTCTTTCACAGAGCAGAAGTTTTTAATTTTAATAAAGTTCAGTTTAAGAATTTTTTGTTCCATGGGTTGTGCTTTTGGTGTTGAATTTAAAAACTCATCGCCAAACCACAAACCACATAGATTGGTTCCTATATTAGCTTCTGTAAGTTTTGTAGTTTTATGTTTCACATTTAAGTCTAAGATCCATTTTGATCTAACTTTTATAAAAGGTGGAAGGACTGTCTGGATTTTCCCATTTGTTAAAAAGATTCTCCTCTTCCCTCTTCCTGCACTGAATTGCCTTTGCTTCTTTGACAAATATAATTTGACTATATTTATGTGGGTGTATTTCTGGGCTCTCTATTCTGTGCTGTTGATCAGTTTGTCTGTTTTTTCACCAATACCACACAGTCTTGCCTAATGTAGATTTATAGTAAGTCATAAAGTCAGGTAGTGTTAATCCTCTGACTTTGTTCCTTTTCAGGATTGTGTTGGTCATTCTAGGTCATTTGACTTCCCATATTAACTTTAGAATCTGTCAATATTCACAAAATAACTTATTCGAATTTTATTGGAATTGTGTTGAATCTATAGATAGGGTTGGGGAGAATTCTCGTCTTAAAATTATTGAGTTTTGCTATTCATGTACATGGAATATCTCTCCATTTATTTATATTTTCTTTGATTTTTGTCATCAGAGTTTTCTGTGTTTCCTTATATTGATCCTGTACATATTTTGTTGGATTTATGCCTAGGTATTTCATTATTTTTGGTGGTAATGTAAATGGCATTATGTTTCTAATTTCAGCTTCCAACTGTTCATTGATGGCATAAAGGAAAGCACTAAACTTTTAAATATTAACTTTATATTCTGTGAACTTCCT
Source organism: Homo sapiens (assembly GCF_000001405.40). Lineage (NCBI taxonomy): Eukaryota > Metazoa > Chordata > Mammalia > Primates > Hominidae > Homo > Homo sapiens. The sequence continues at coordinate 1,347,264 of NC_000020.11, forward strand.
ATAATCACTTATTAGTTCCAGGAGTCTTTTGTTGTTGAATCTTTGGGATTTTCTATGTTAGACAATCATGCCACACTGTACACAGAAATAAAGACAGCTTTATTTCTTCTTTCCCAATTGGCATGCCTTTTATTCTCTTTTCTTGTCTTATTGCACTAGCAAGAAATTCTAGTGCAATATTAAATAGGAGTGGCGAAAGGGGACATCTTTGCCTTGTTCCCAATATTAGGGGGGAAAACATCCAGTTTCTCATCATTAAGTATGATGTTAGTTGTAGAATTATTGTAACTCCCGTTTGTTAATTTGAGAATGTTTCCTATTACTCCTAGGTCGCTGCGAGTTTTTATTATGAAAGGGTGTTGGATTTTGGCAATGCCTTTTTTGCATCCATTGATATGATCGATCACATGATTTTCTTCTTAAACTTATTGATTTGATGAATTACATTAATTGATTTTTGAATGTTGAACCAGTTGTTCCTGCCTGGAATAAATCCTGCTTGGTCAAATCATGGTGTATAATGATTTTTATACATTGTTGGATTTGATTTGCTAATTTTTTTAAAAAAAAATTGGGGGTACATAGTAGGTATATATATTTATGGGGTACATGTGATATTTTGATTCAGGCATTCAATGTGTAATAATCACATCAGTGTAAGTGGGGTATCCATCACCTCAAGCATTTATCCTTTCTTTGTGTTACAAACAATCCAATTATACTCTTTTAGTTATTTTAAAATGTGCAATAAATTTTGTTGACTGTAGTCACCCTGTTGTGCTATCAAATACTAGATCTTATTCATTCTGTCTAACTATATTTTTGTACCCATTTACCATCCACATTTCCCTCCCTACTCCCCCAACTACCCTTCCCAGCCTCTGGTAAGCACCATTCTACCTTTATCTCCATGAGTTCAATTTTAAAAAACTTTTAGCTCCCCCAAATAAGTGAGAACATGCAAAGTTTGTCTTTCTGTGCCTGGCTTATTTCACTTAACATAATGACCTTCAGTTTCATCCATGTTGTTGCAAATGACAGGATCTCATTCTTTTTTTATGGCTGAATAGTACCCCATTGTGTATATGTACCACATTTTCTTTATTCATTCATCTATTGATGGACACTTACATTGCTTCTAAATGTTGGCTATTGTGAATAGTGCAGCAATAAACATGGGAGTGCAAATATCTCTTTGATATACTGATTTCCCTTCTTCTGGGTATTATCTAGAAATGGGATTGATGGATCATATGGTATCTCTATTTTTAGTTTTTTGATGAACTTCCAAACTGTTCTCCATAGTGTTTGTACCAATTTACATTCCCACCAACAGTGTATGAGGGTTGCCTTTTCTTTACATCCTCATCAGCATTTGTTATTGCCTGTCTTGGATAAAAGCCATTTTAACTGGGGTGAGATGATATCTCACTGTAGTTTTGATTTGCATTTCTCTGATGATGATAATGATGTTAAGCACCTTTTCCTACGCCTGTTTGCCATTTGTATGTCTTCTTTTGAGAAATGTCTATTCAGATGTTTTGCCCATTTTAAACTCAGATTATTAGATTTTTTTTCCTATTGAGTTGTTTGAGCTCCTTATATATTTTGGTTATTAATCTCCTATCAAATGGATAGTTTGCAGATATTTTCTCCCATTCTGTGGGTTGTCTCTTTACTTTGTTGATTGTTTCTTTTGCTGTGAAGAAGGTTTTTAACTTCATGTGATCCCATTTGTTCATTTTTGCTTTGGCCGACTGTGCTTGTAAGGTATTACTTTGCCCAGTCCAATGTCCAGGAGAGTTTCTCCAATGTTTTCTTTTAGTAGTTTCATCGTTTGTGGTCTTAGATTTCAATCTTTAATCCATTTTAATTTGATTTTTGTATATATTGCAGGAGATAGTCTAGTTTCATGCTTCTGCATATGGATATCCAGTTTCTCCAGCACCATTTATTGAAGAGACTGTCCTTTTCCCAATTTATATTCTTGGCATCTTTGTTTAAATAGATCAGATGGATTCGTTTCTGGGTTCTCTATTCTGTTCCATTAGTCTGTCTGTTTTTATGCCATTAACATACTGTTTTGGTTATTATAGCTCTGTAGTATAATTTGAAGCCAGGTAATGTGATTCCTCAAGTTTTGTTCCTTTTGCTCACAATAGCTTTGGGTATTCTGGGTCTTTTGTGGTTCTATATAAATTATAGAATTTTTTCTATTTCTATTAAGAATGTCACTGGTATTTTGATAGGAATTGCATTGACTCTGTAGATTGCTTTGGATAATATGGACATTTTAACAATATTGATTCTTCCAACCCATGAACATGGAATATCTCTATTTTTTGTGTCTTCCTCAATTTATTTTACCAATGTTTTATAGTTTTCATTGTAGAGATCTTTCACTATTTTGGTTAAGTTTATTGTTCGGTATTTTATTTGTGGCTATTCCCAATGGAATTACTTTCTTGATTTCTTTTTTAGATTGTTCATCCTTGGCATATAGAAATGCTACAGATTTTTGTATGCTGATTTTGTATTCTGCAACTTTAGTGAATTTATCTAACAGTTTTTTGGTGGAGCCTTTAGGTTTTTCCAAATAGAAGATCAGATTGTCTAAAAACAAGGGTAATTTGACTTCTTCTTTCCCAGTTTGGATGCCCTTTCTTTCTTTCTTTCTTTTGTCTGATTGCTCTAGCTAGGACTTCTAGTACTATGTTGAATAATAGTGTACTGGGCATCCTTGGCTTATTCCAGATCGTAAAGGAAAGGATTTTAGTTTTTCTCCATTCAGTATGATAGTAGTGATGGGTCTGTCATATATGTCATATATGGGTTTTATTATATTGCAGTACATTCCTTCTCTACCCAGTTTTTTGAGGGTTTTTATCATGAAGGGATGTTGAATTTTATCAAATGCTTTTTCAGCATCAATTAAAATGATCATGTAGTTTTTGTCCTTCATTCTTGTTGATAAGATGTATCACTGATTGAATTGCATATGTTGAACCATCCTTTTATTCCTGGGATGGATGTCACTTGGTCATAATTAATTATTATTATTATTTTTTGAGACAGACTTTCGCTCTTGTCGCCCAGGCTGGAGTGCAATGGCGCAATCTGCAATGGCTCACTGTGACCTCCGCCTCCCAGGTTCAAGCAATTCTCCTGCCTCAGCCTCCCAAGTAGGTGGGATTGCAGGCCCCCACCACCATGCCCAGGTAATTTTTGTATTTTTAGTAGAGATGAGGTTTCACCATATTACAGGCGTGAGTCACTATGCCCGGCCATGAATGATTTTTTAAATGTGTCTTTGAATTTGGTTTGCTAGTATTTTGTTGAGGATTTTTGCATCAATGATCATCAGGGATCCTGGCCTGTAGTTTTCTTTTTTTGATGTGTCTTTCTCTGGTTTTGGTATCAGAGTAATACTGGCCTTGTAGCATGAGTTTGGAAGTATTCCCTTCTCCTCTATTTTTCAGAATAGTTTGAGTAGGATTGGTATTAGTTCTTCTTTAAATGTTTGGTAAAATTCAGCAGTGCAGCAATTGGGTCCCGGGCTTTTCTTTGCTGTGAGACTTTTTATTATGGCTTTGATCTCATTGCTTGTTATTAGTCTGTTCAGGTTTTGGATTTCTTCATAGTTCAATCTGGGTAGGTTGATTTATCTATTTCTTCTAGATTTTCCAATTTATTGGCATATAGTTGCTCATAGTAGTGTCTAATAATAGTAGTGTCTTTGAATTTCTGCAGTATCAGTTTTAATGTCTCCTTTTCATCTCTGATTTTATTAGTGTCTCCTCTCTTTTTTTTTCTTAGTTGGGCTAAATTTATCAACATTGTTTGTCTTTTCAAAAAAACAAATTTTTGTTTCATTGATCTGTATTTTTTAATTTCAATTTTATTTACTTCTGCTCTGATCTTTATTTCTTCTACTGATTTTGGGTTTTGCTTTTGCTTTTCTAGTTTTTTAAGATGCATCATTAGATTATTTGAAGTTTTTCTACTTTTTTGATGTAGGTGCTTATTGCTGTAAATTTTCCTCTTAGTGCTGCTTTTGTTGTATCCCATAGGGTTTGGTATGTTGTGTTTCCGTATTCATTTATTTCAACAAATTTTTTTCTTTTTTCTTATTTTTTTCTACTTGTAAATTTTTTATACGATAACAAAATGTTTTTCACTTTCCTTCTTAAATTTCTTTATTGACCCACTAGTCATTTAGGAGCATATTGTTTAATTTCCATGTGCTTGGACAGTTTCCAAAATTCCTCTTGTTATTGGATTTCTAGTTTTATTCCACTGTGGTCAGAGAAGATACTTGATAGTATTTCAATTTTTGGGAATTTTTACATACTTGTTCTGGGGCCTAACATATGGTCTATCCTTGAGAATGATCTATGTGCAGAGAAGAATGTGTATTTTGCAGTCATTGGATAAACTGTTCTATAAATATCTTTTAGGTCCATTTGGTCTATAGATGGAATCTATAGTTCAGATTAAGTCCAATGTTTCTTTGTTGATTTTCTGTCTGGATGATCTGTTCAATGCTGCATGTGGGATGCTGAAGTCTCCAGTTATTGTACTGGAGTCTGTCTCTCTAGCTCTAATAATATATACTTTATATATCTGGGTGATCCAGTGTTGAGTGCATATAGGTTTACAATTGTTATATTCTCTTGATGAATTGACCCCTTTATTATATAATGATCTTCTTTGTCTCTTTTTATAGTTTTTGTCTTGAAATATACTGCTCTTTTTTGGTTTCCATTTGCAAGGAATGTCTTTTTCCATCCCTTTATTTTCAGTTTACGTGTGTCTTTAAAGTGTGTTTCTTGTAGGCAAGACATTATTGGGTCTTATTTTTTTAAAATCCATTCAGCCACCCTTCCTTCCTTCCCTTCCTTCCTCCCTCCCTCCCTCCCTCCCTGCCTGCCTGCCTTCTTTCCTTCCTTCCTTCCTTCCTTTCCTTCCTTCCTTTCCTTCCTTCCTTCCTTCCTTCCTTCCTTCCTTCCTTCCTTTCCTTCCTTCCTTCCTTCCTTCCTTCCTTCCTTCCTTCCTTCTTTCCTTTCTTTCTCTTTCTTTCTTTCGATGGAGCCTTTCTCTGTCACCCAGGCTGGAGTGCAGTAGCACAATCTTGGCTCACTGCAACCTCCAGCGCCCAGGTTCAAGCAATCTTCTTGCCTCAGCCTCCCAAGTAGCTGGGACTACAGACGCGCCATGATGCCTGGCTAGTTTTTTGTGTTTTTAGTAGAGAGACGGGGTTTTGCCATGTTGGCAAGGCTGGTCTCAAACTCCTGACCTCAGGTGATCCACCTACCTTGGCCTCCCAAAGTGCTGGGATTACAGGTGTAAGCCACTGTGGCCGGCCTACTTTATGTCTTCTAACTGGAGAGTTTAGTCCATTTGTCTTCAATGTTATTATTGATAAGCACTTACTCTTGCCATTTTGTTATTTGTTTTCTGGTTGTTTTGTAGTCTTCTTTTCCTTCTTTCCTTCCTTTCCATCTTCCTTTTAATGAAGGTGACTTCTCAGGTGGTATGTTTTAATTTCTTGCTATTACTTTTGTGTATCCATTGTATGTTTTTTTATTTGAGGCCACCATAAGGCTTGCAAATAATATCTTGTAACCCATTATTTTAAACTGATGACAACTTAACAATGATTGCATAAGCAAACTAACAAGCAAAGAGATGAATAAAAACTCTACACTTTAACTTCATCCCCTTGCTTTTGACTTTTTGTTGTTTCTATTTATATCTTATTATACTATGTCTTGAAAAGTTGTAGTTATTATTTTTGACAGGGTCATCATTTAGTCTTTCTACTCAAGAGATCAGTAGTTTACACACTACAGTTACAGTGTTATATTCTGTGTCTTTCTGTGTACTTATGATTATCTGTGAATTTTATACTTTCAGATGATTTTTTTTTTTTTTTTGAGACAGGGACTCACTGTCACCCTCGCTGGACTGCAATGGAGTGTGGCTCACTGCAGCCTCAACCTCCCAGGCTCAAGCAATCCTCTCATCCCAGACTTTCAAATAGTTGGGACTTCAGGCACATACCACCATGCCCAGCTAATTTTTACTTTTTGTAGAGATGGGGTTTCATTATGTTACCCAGGCTGGTCTTGAACTCCTGGACACAAGCAATCCCCCAACCTTGGCTTCCCAAAGGGCTGGGATTAAAGGTGTGAGCCCCCAGATGATTTCTTATTGCTCAATAACATCCTTTTTGTTTTTTTAATTGAAGAAATTCCTTTAGCATTTCTTGTAGGACAGATCTGGTGTTGATAAAATCCCTCAGGTTTTGTTTGTCTGGGAAAGTCGTTATTTTTCCTTCATGTTTGAAGGATATTTTCACTGGATAAATTCCAGTATAAAAAGGTTAGTTTTTCTTTAGCCCTTTAAGTATGTCATGCTAGTTTCTCTCCTGGCCTGTAAGGTTTCCACTAAGAAGTCTGTTACCAGATGTATTGGAGCTCCTTTGTATGTTATTTGTTTCTTTGGCTGCTTTTAGGATCCTTTTTTATCTTTGACTTTTGGGAGTCTGATTATTAAATGTCTTGAGGTAGTCTTATTTGGGTTAAATCTGCTTGGTGTTCTATATAACCTTCTTGTATTTGAATATTGATATATCTCTAGGTTTGAGAAGTTCTCTGTTATTATCCTTTTGAATAAACTTTCTACCCTAGTCCCTCTCTCTACTGCCTCTTTATGGCCAGTAACTCTTAGATTTGCCCTTTGGAGGCTATTTTCTAGATCTTGTAAGCATGCTTCATTCTTTCTTATTCTTTTTTCTTTTGTCTCCTGACTGTATTTTAAAATACACTGTCTTCAAGCTCATTAATTCTTTCTTCTGCTTGACAAATTCTGCTGTTAGGAGACTCTGATGCATTCTTCAGTATGTCAGTTGCATTTTTCAGCTCCAGAGTTTCTGCTTGGTTCTGTTTAATTATTTCAACTTCTTTGTTAAATTTATCTGATAGGATTCTGAATTTCTTCTCTGTTATCAACATGATTTTGTTGAGTTTCTTCAAAATGGCTATTTTGAATTATCTATCCAAATATTCATCAATCTCTGTCTGAGATTGGCCCCAGGTGGGTCCATAGATGTCGTCCAGAAGGCAGGGCCTGTAGTTGGGAACCTTAGGAGTCTACCTGATGCTCTATTCTACTGCGGCTGAGCTTGCATCCAAGCCACAAGACAAAGTCCTTTCCACTATTCCCTCCCCTTTCCTCAGGCAGAGGAGTCTCCCCATGGCCACCACTGTCCTAGGCCCGTGGTGAGTACTGCCTGGCTACCACCTATGTTCATTCAAGACCCAAGGGCTCTTCAGTCAGCTTATGGTGAATGCTTGTAGTCCTGATTCTCTCCTTTCAGGGCAGTGGGCTTACCTCTGGCCCAGTACAGGTCCAGAAATGCCATCCAGGAGCCAAGACCTGGAATCGGGGCCCCAGAGTCCCACTTGGTACTCGGTACTCTACCCAACTGTGGCCAAGCTGGTACCCAAGCTGCAAGACAAAGTCCCCTTTACTCTTCCCTCTCCTTTCCTTAGGCAGAAGGGGTCTCTCCCTGAGGCCACCGTAGCTGGGAATGTACTGGGTCACACATGAAGCCAGTGTGGCTCTGAGTCTCACCCAAGGCCTGCGGCCAGTACTACTTGGCTAACACTGCTGATTATTCAAGGCCAAAGGGCCCTTTAGTCAGCAGGTGATGAATTTTGCCAGAACTGGGTCCTTCTGTTCTGGCAGTAGGTTCCTTTCTGGTAAGTTTAGAAATGTCATCCAGAAGCTAGAGCCTGGAACGAGTGCCTCAGACCTCTGCTTAGTGTCCTATTCTACTGTGGCTGAGCTAGTATCCAATTTGCCAAAAAAAAAGCCCTGTTTACTCTTCTCCTCCTCTCCTCAAGCAGAGGGAAAGAGTCTTTCCTGGAGCTGTAAGCTGTGCTGCCTGGAGTTGGGGGAGAGATGACACAAGCACTCCCTTGATCACCCCAGCTGGTGTCTCACTAGGTCACATGCCTCCCAAGTACACTGGCTCCGAACACAGCATAGCACCAGGACTTGCCCAGGAATTGCAGTCCTTCTGGTCCAGACGGCCTTCCAAATTTATTTAGGACCCCAGAGCACTTTAGCCCACTTTGGCGGGGTTTGCCAGAACTCACGTTCTGACTGCTGGGATGGATGATTTGCCCCTGGCTAGGACATGGGCACTCGCGAAGTTCTGCCCCGTTGCTTTCCACTGTGAGAGGGCGGCACTGAGTTCCATTGCAGTGTCCCACAATCACTGTGCTCTCTTCCAGAAGTGCACATATTCTCTCTCCATACCACACTCAGTGCCTCTTTCTTTAATATGATTTTAATATCAAGTACTGTAATCACTTGTCTGATTTTTGGCTCCTATGAAGGTGCTTTTTTGTGTGGATCATTGTGCAATTTGGTGTTCTTGCAGGGTAGACAATTGCTGGAGGCTTCTTTTCAGCCATCTTGCTCCACCTCCTCCTGATTTGCTAGTATTTTATTGAGGAGTTGTACATCTGTGTTCCTGAGAGATTGGTTTTTAATTTTCCTTTATTATAATATCTTAATCTCGTTTCGGTATTAGGGTAGTGCTGGCCTCATAGGATGAGTTAAGAAGTATTCCCTCTGCTTCCGTTTTCTGGAAGAAATTGCAGAGAATTGATACTATTTATTCCTTAAACATTTGGTTTCACCAGTGAAACCAGTGAAACCATCTGGGTCTTGTACTTTCTTTTTTTGGAAGGTTACTAATTATTAATTCAGTATAAAACCAGCCTTGCATTTTAAGAATGAGTGAGAGGCATACAGTTTAATTCCATCACAACTGATCAGAAAACATACTTCACATAACTTCAATTATTTTAAATTTGTTAAAGTTTGTTTTATGTCCCAGGATATGGTCTATCTTGGTAAATGTTCCATGTGCACTTGAAAAAAAAATGTGTATTCTGCTGCTGTTGGATGGAATGTTCTAGAAATGTCACTTAAATGTTGTTGCTCATGTTGTTAATTTCTTCTAATCTTTGATGATTTTTTTTTTTTTGTCTAATGGTTCTATCAGTTAGTGATAGAAGGATGTTGAAGTCCACGCTGTAATTGTGGATTTATCTATTTCTTCTTTCAATTCTGTCAGTTTTCACATTATTTTATAACTTTGTTGTTCAGTGCATACTATTTTAGGGTTGTTGAGTCCTCTTGGCTTGGGGTTTGCTCATTTTCTTAAATCTGAAGATTTACACCTTCCACCAAATTTGGGGAGTTTTCAGCTATGATTTCTTTAAGTATATTTTCAGCACTGCACTCTTTCTCTTGTCCTTATGGAACTTCAATAGCTCTAAAGAGTATTTAGATCTTGGAGTATTTTCCCATAGGTCCTTAAAGTCCTATTCATTTTTAAAAAATCTATTGTCTTTTTTTTCCTCTGTTCAGACTGTGTAACTTTTATTGGTTTGTCTTCAAGTTCAATGTTTCTTTCCTCTGTCATCTCCACTCTGCCATTGTGTCCATCCAATGAGTTTGTTTCTGTTATTGTGTATATATATATATTTTTAAGTTCTAAAACTTCCATCTGGGGCTGGGTGTGGTGGCTCATGCCTGTAATCCCAGCACTTTGGGAGGCTGAGGCGGGCAGATCACTTTAGTCCGTGAGTTTCAGACCAGCCTGGGCAACATGGCGAAACTCCATCTCTATAAAAAATACAAAAAATTAGCTGCGCATGAAGGCATGTGCCTGTAGTCCCAGCTATTCACGATGCTGAGGTGGAAGGATCGCTTGAGCCCAAGAGGTGGAGCTTGCAGGTGAGCTGAGATCACGCCACAGCGCTCCAGCCTGGGTGACAGAGACAAACCCTGTCTCAAAAGAAATAAGTTAATAAATAAAAAATAAAATAGGCTGGGCACAGTGGCTCACACCTGTAATCCCAGCGCTTTGGGAGGCTGAGGCAGGCAGACTGCTTGAGCACAAGAGTTTGAGAGCAGCCTGGGCAATGTAGTGAGACCCTGTCTCTATTTTTTTAAAAATGATTTAAAATAAAATAAATCTTCCATTTGGGGTTTCTTTTTCTTTTTTTTTCTTTTTTTAAGATGGAGTTTCACTCTTTGTTGTCCAGGCTGGAGTGCAATGGCACAATCTTGACTCACCACAACCTCCGCCTCCCGGGTTTAAGCGATTCTCCTGCCTCAGCCTCCCAAGAAGCTGGGATTACAGGTGCACGCCACCACGCCCAGCTAATTTTGTATTTTTAGCACAGACGGGGTTTCTCCATGTTGGTCAGGCTGGTCTCAAACTCCTGACCTCAGGTGATCCGCCCACCTTGGGCTCCCAAAATGCTGGGATTACAGGCATGAGCCACCGCACCCGGCTGGGGTTTCTTTGTATCTTTTATTTATTGAACCTTTGTTTTTTGAGTGTTCATAGTTTCTTGTTAAAAGTGTTTTTGTTTGTTTTTTAATGATAGCTGCTTTAAAAATCCTTGCCAGACAATCCCAACATCAGTACCATCTTGGTATTGGCATCTGTTGATTGCCTGTTCTCATTCTGGTTGACTTTTTCTGTTTTCTGACATGACAAGTAATATTCAATATTATCAGTACTTTGGGTATTATGAAACTCTGATTCCTTTTTATATTTTCTACTTTAGCATGCATTCAACCTGCTTCAATTCAGAATGCACATCATGACTCACTTCTGTGGTCTGTGAGTTTGAATGTCAGTTTGGTTTCAAATTCAGCGTTATCTTGGTCTGCTCTGCCTGTGTGCTACCCAGAGACCAGTGGATACCCAGAAACCCGAGTGGTATTCCACAGCATAGCTCAGTTCTTAAAGCTTTTGCTGTGTTAATTCTGATGAGTTTCACACATAGGCCACTTGGGGATGTGCACAAATTGAAAGACGCTTTTTCCGCAGCTCCCTCCTCTCTGTTATTCTGCCCACACTCTCTGTGAGGGGGTAGGTGCTGCCTCTGTTACTGCAGGACAGGTGGTAGTCAACAGGGCTCTACCCTAGAGTGTCCATAGCATCCCATGGGAAGAAGGAGGAGGGAGGGGGTGTCACCTCTTATCCCATTAGTGCAGGATGGGGCTCATTAATAGAGCTCCACTTGTCTCCAGAATCACTGGTGAGGAAGGGGAGTGTTGCCCCCACATTCGTGCACAGCAGGGATGGTTCACCGAACTCCACACCAGTCTCTGCAGAGCCTGTTGGGGAGAGGAGGGCTGTGGTTTCTTTGATGGTGTTCACCTGGAGTAGAGCAAGTATTGTCAAAAGGGTCATCCTCGGAGGTTGCAGTGAGCCGAGATCGCACCATTGCACTGCAGCCTGGGAGACAGAGCAAGACTCCATCTCAAAAAAAAAAAAAAAAAAAAAGGCCATCCTTCATTACTGTCCTCTTCTAGGTCCTTTGACTAGAGAAAGCATTTTCCTTAGGACTTTTGTTGTCTGTGCTTGTTGGTCATTTCAGATTGTGCCTTCCTCTAGTGCCCAGGTTGAAATACGTGAACACTACGAAAGCCTCTGGGAACTCCCTGCCAGGTCATCCCTTGAGACTTAAGTTTCCTTGCCAGTCTGCCTAGTTTACTTCACCTTTAGAGGTTTCTGATAGTTGCTTTATGTATTTTGTCTAGTTTTTAGTTGTAATTAGCAGAAGGAATAGGGTGGAGTCCACTTACTTTATCTTGTGTGAACATGGAAGCCCCATGTATTTTTTAAATAAACTTTTTGAGGTGTAATTTACATGAAATAAAATGTACCCATTTAAAGTATACATTTCCATGAGATTGACAAATGTGTATATCCATGTAACCCTAACCACAATCAAGATATAGAACACTCCCATTACCCCAAAAGGTTCCCTTTGTCTTCCTTCCTAGTCAGTTTCCTCCATCCTGAGCCTCAGACCTGGCCTGATTTCTGCCAGTGTAAGTTGAACTTGTCTTTTCTAGAGTTCCATATGAAGAAAATCACATAGAACGTAATGTTTGTAAAAGTCTGGGCCGGGCACGGTGGCTCACGCCTGTAATCCCAGCACTTTTGGAGGCCAAGGTGGGTGGATCACAAGGTCAGGAGATCGAGACCATCCTGGCCAACATGGTGAAACTCCATCTCTACTAAAAATACAAAAATTAGCTGGGCATGGTGGCACATGCCTGTAATCCCAGCTACTCAGGAGGCTGAGGCAGGAGAATCGCTTGAACCAGGGAGTCGGAGGTTGCAATGAGCCGAGATCGCGCCACAGCGCTCCAGCCTGGTGACAGAGTGAGCTTCCGTCTCAAAAAAAAAAAAAAGTCTGGTTCCTTTTACTTATTATAATATCTGTGAGATTCATCCATATTGTTGGCATTTCAGTAGTTCATTCCTTTTTATGTTTGTTTTTGCTTTCATTTGAATTGTCACTATCCTATGCTCTTGCCTGACAGACCCTGAGAGCCTACTGACCACAGCAGCTCCTGTTACCACGGCTGCCGTTTCTGCTCTCAATGCTACTGCTCATTGATCCCAGGGAGGAAAATTCTGGTGCATCACTTAGTATTTATTTCAGGTATGGTTAGGACATTTCAGAATAAAGGATGGCTTCTTCTGGATGTATCTGAATTGATCTGCTGTCATATACTTATGAATCACATGCTCAGACCAAAGTACATAAAAAAGTCATTCTCTTTCCAGACAATTTTAGGGGTTTGTAACCTTGGTCTTATATTGCTCCATGGCCTATGAATTAGTAACAGGACTAGTGAAATTCCTAGTAACATAGTCCTGTTACTACAAGATTACCCATATCCTTTGATGATCCATCTACTGCAAACTCATAGAATTTACTGGACAGTCTTCTTCATTTTATGTAAGAATGACCACTGTATCATCATATGTCAATGTCCTGCATAACTGTCACCACCCCTCCATGCCGAATACCTGGTAGCTTGTGATGAGTTGAGAACCTCACTAAACAGTCTTATCCACATCCTCAGGTTCTCTGAGGTTTTCCTTCTGTCCAGTCCATGCACTTGTACCCCTGGTGGTCGAAGTACAGTCACGCACTGCGTATGATGTTCTCATCAGTGGTGGGCTGCATACACAGCAGTGGTCCCATAAAACCATAATGAAGCTCAAAAATTCCTATTGCCAACTGGCATAACGTCATGTAGTGACACATGACCTTTTCTATGTTTAGATCTGTTCAGATACACAAATCCTTACCACTGTATTCCAATTGCCTGTAGTATTCAACAGTCACTGTACAAACCTGCTGTATAGTTTTGTAGCCTAGGAGCTACAGGTTGTACCGTATAGCCTAGGTGTGTGGTAGGTAGGCTATACTATACAGATTTGTGTAAGTATACTCTATGATGTTCACACAATGGTGAAATCTCCTAATGACACATTTCTCAGAATGTCTCCCCATCACTTTGGCCAGCTGACTCAGTTTGTGATGGCAATTGTGAGACCAGTTGAAGGGCGATCTGACCTGTATATTCTCTTGGTTAATTGTATTTACAAATTGGATACATGATTTCTCTGATTGCTCTCTTCACAAACTACATTTGAATATACAAATGAAGTGCTAAGTGGTTTTTATACAGGGAAACAAAGCCAGTTTTGTTTTCTACCAATGCAAGTTTGGATAAATTCTTTTCAAGAAGATGACTAAATATTTCCCATTTAGCAAAGTCCTCAGATAAAGAGATGCCAGGTATTTCTCGTTATGTTGGTTTCTGTATTACTATCTGTTCAGACACAAGCGTCCTTAAAAATGTGCTTAGTTGTAATTTCTTCATAGATTTCAACCAAAACAACATATTGCAAGATTGAATGCAGAAGTAGATGTGAGAACTCATTCTATTAAGCCAAGCGTAAATGTTTAAAAATGTAAAATAATACCACTCTTCTGATATGTTTTGGGAGAAAATATGTTTGTGGAAAATATACCTATCAAAGAAATATCAGAAACCTTCCAAACTGAAGGACATGTGTATCCAGATTAAAATGACCTTCCAAATGCTTAACATAGTAAACAAAAAACAGGAGGAAAAGGAGGGGAGAAAAGAAAAAAAGAAGACTCACACAAGGCCGTGTTACGACATTTCATCATACCATAGATAAATCAGATCCTGAAAGATTTCAGAAAGGAATATGAGATCACACATAAAGGAACAGGAATCAAAATGACATTACCCTTCTCAACAACACTGGAAGCTCCAAGAGAGTGCAGCAATGCTTTCATCCTCAGAGAAAATAATTATCAATACAAAATAATATTCCCAGCTAAGCTATCAATCATGAGGGTAGAAGAAAGGCATTTTTAGCCATTGCGTGGGAGTGCTATAATAATGGTCCCAGTGAACCACACCTCCCTGTATCCGCACCACTTTGCAATGAGAAATTTGCTGTTTCTCCTAGTGAGAGAGGGAGTCTATTTCTTTACCCTTGGGCCTGGGCTGGCCTGGTGACTTGTTTTGACCAATACATGGAAGAAGTGACATTATGTGAGTTCTGCAGCTGAAGCTTTAAGAGGCCTTGAAGTTTCTCCTCACCTTCTTGGAACCTTGAGACCACCATGCTGTGAGAAGCCTGGGCATATCTACTGGAGGCCGAGGGGCCACATGACACGTCTAAAACTCATACGTCAAGATATGGTAATATAATGTGAAATTCCTAGAGCAGCTTAATGCTAGTCTCTATTTGGCTACCTTTTTCTTTAGAATTGCTTATATAGTTAGTGTATGAGATTTTTTGTTATATTTTGCAAATATTTTCTCTCCATTATAGCTCATCATCTTTTAGCTTTGTTTATGGCATGTTTTTATGATAGAGAAGTTTCATTTTTTATTTTTAAGTGGTTACATCTATTAATAATTTCCTTTGTGTCTCTGAGGTTTTGTTGCTTAAGAAGGACTTCTCAAAGATTTAACCTTATTTTTTACTTAAAGAGCAAAAAAAAAAACAAAAAACAAAAAACAAAACACGATCACAATATAAGCCAGTATAAGCAACTGGTTCGTGCAGGATGGTGGTAGTTATCAAAGAGAGCGGGGGGTCTAAAGCTCTAAGGAGTCGTCTGGAGAAAGCCAGGCAGAGACTTGCTGCTTTTCTATTCTACTTCTTTCCCTTCTCATCCAGCTTGAAAGCTGCACCCATCAAGTGCGTCCTGAATCTGACGATTCACTATCTTCACTTCCGCCAGTCTGCTCCAGGCCTCCATCCTTTCTGGCCTAAATGAACCCCAAAGCTGGCTTGTGTCCTGCATCCATCCACCACTCTTGCCCTTGTTTCACTTATCTATTGCTGTGAAATAAACTTCAAAACCAAGTGATTCAGTCTCACAACTCTGGTTTTCCTGGGCTGAGTGGGGTGGTTCCTCTATTCATGTGATGTGGCTGGAGCTGTGGGCATTTGTGGGCTTGAATGGGCTGAGTGTTCACCGTGGTTCATTCACATGGTGGCAGCTGGCTAGGTTCTCAGCTAGGACGATGGCCTCTCCATGTAGCTTGGGCTCAGAGCTAGTGTTCTGAGAAGGAAGTAGAAGCTGGCAGTCCTATTGAGGCCTGGGCTTGAAGTCCCAGAACATCCTTTCCCACTGCCTTGTAATGATCAAAGTAGTCACAAGGCCAGCCTAGATTCAAGGGCTTGGAGGAATACTACCTTTCAGTCAATTTCCCAGTTTCCAGAGGATTTTAAAAAAACAAACGGCTCGACACAGTGGCATGTGCTACTCGGGAGGCTAAGGTGGGAGGATCGCTTGAGCCTGGGAGGTTGAGGTTGCCGTGAGCTGTGATTACACCACTGCACTCCAACCTGGGTGACAGATCAGACCTTGTCTCAAAACACTCTCCCCAAAACAAATAGACATAATTCTCCTGCTGGAATCCACTGCTCACTAGACTTACATTGTAATAGCCTGCCTCACCTGGCCCCTGCCTAACTCTGTCCCTCACACCTTTGCTCTGTCTCTAAAGGTCATACTGCTGTTTCCCCAGCACCCCAAACTCACCACCCTTCAGGGACTTAGCCTAGAACAATTTTCCTCCAGGACTTCACTTGGCCACTTCACTCCATTGCTTCCAGACGGCTGGCATTATTTGCCCATCTGTTTTGGGTCTCCTTCACTGGCATGAATGTAAGGTCCTTGCCAGCAGCACTTTTCTGTCCTATCCTACATTCACTCTTAGCATCTAGAATGGTGTTATCACAGGAAAGGCATAAAAGTATACTCTGTGGTTAACTGAATTTACTTGCCTAAATCTTGGGCATGTGATGCTTTGAGAAATATACAAATTAATGTTAAACAGAACCACAGTGGTCAGTAACAGGCACATCCAAGGATACACTAGTCCTGCATACATACCCACTGGCATGTTTCTACCTTCCTAATAAGAGCTGACAGCCGTTTTGCTGCATGCTGTACAGGACAGCTGCTGCTGCAAACTCAGCCTCTGATGGGCCCATAGTCGATGTGCCCACTGCATGCCTTGAACTCAGGGAATTCAGACGAAATCATCACACACTCCAGCCAGAAGCTAGAGGGCTGCCGGCCTTGACATTTTAATGCATTTTTGGTGTCAGCTGCCCTTCACTGATTCACTCAATTCTAGAGGTCTGAATGAGAATCCCTACACGCTTCTCAGGGGTTCTGAAGAAGCCAGTGTAGCCCAAGGTCATCAACCCAAGTGAACCCACATTTATCCAGGAAGCAAGAGGTGTGGCAAGGGCAGAATTCTAACAGACATCCATTCCACATGTGTCAGAGACAAAACTAAGTCCAAGATAAAATCGACAAAGGCTATTTATTCATAAACGTGCAGCAGGGGAACCCTTCTGCTGAAACCTTTGTTTTGGTAAGTGTTCAGAGGTGTTAAGACGTTATAGAGTAAAAAGGAGAAATACTGACAGTGTTGACTTGGCAAATGTCATATAAGGGTAGGATTTGTGGAAGCAAGCCAAGAGACAAAGTGGTCTTCAAGTACATTTGACTTGATTAGCTTCAAGGAGGCAGGTGAGCAGTCTGGGACCATTTCAAAAGAGGAAAGGGGCGGAGAGTTTTCTGTGGCCAGCCATTTCCTGGAAAAAGTGATGGTTGATGGGATGCTTTTTTGCAGTCTATCATCATGGTTCTTAGGGGTGTAAAAAGTAAAGTGAGGTTCCTCTTCAAAGACTTTCCTCCCTGTCTAATTAAGAATAAATAGTAACTTCTCTTAGGAGCAAAACTTATTCAAAGACCTGTGCTAACATTCTTAAATATCTGCTAGCCGTAATAAAGAAATCAATGTACTTTATGTTCTTAGCTCCCACAATTTAGCCTATTTGCCCTGGCAATGCTTATACTGGTCCAAGCAAGCATTAGGTCATAGCCTGTTCCTCTTCCTTATCTGAAGGTGTTTTTACGTTTCTCAGCATTCCACAAGTTACTTCCTCCTTCATTCTCCTCTGCCTTTGCCTCTTTTAAAAAGTTCTAAGTTGCTAGCCAATCAGGACAAATACAGAATGTGAGGTCCCGTTCCAGCCAATGGAAACTGGACACAGCAGTAAAGTGGACTTGTCAAGTTATAAATGACCCTGTCTCCTTTGTTCGGTGTTCTCTCGTGGCAAAACTGCTGGCGAGTGTACCCTTTCTGCAGAAAGTATAAAAATGACCTTGCTGAAGAAATTAATGTTCAAGTGCTATTTCTTTGCGGCACTGAAGAACAAGCATTTCAAACAGAGGGTAGGGTGGGGTGGTGGTGGTGGTGTTATGTGGTTGCCACAGCTAAGTTAAGTTTTTCACATGGATCATTAACTTTCAAATAATTAAAATTTTAGAGATGCAAGGTATCTTAAAGTTCATCTGGTCACTCTGACCACCCACATTCCCACTCTCATCCCAAGTTCATTTAATGGATGGAAAAACTCAAACAAAAGGTAGTTTGGCATCTAACCCTTAGCAAAGGTTAGATGTGGAATTAGAAGTTTTCCTGAATCCTAGGACTGTAGTATAACCATCATGCATTTCAAAAGTAAAACAAAAAAGGAAATTTAAAAAAAGAAAATACAGTAAGTAGCCACATAAACCGCTTCTAGCTGGGTCCACTGGTCCCCCTGCTTCTTGTTTATTAACGGAATCTGTTCAGGGGCTCTAGGGCTCAGAGCTTTAGGGGAGTCTGAGCCCTTCTCCAGCCCTGGGGTGATGGGTCTTGATTGATCCAGGTCAAATTCTCCACAGATTTAATTCTGGCCAATGAATATGAGAAGAAATGAGAAGGTGGAAAGGTGTCTTAGTCTACTTTTTGCTGCTATAATAAAAATACCAATACATGGGGTAAATTATAATGAAGAGAAATTTATCTCATGGAGTTCTGGAGGCTGGGGAGTCCCAAAATCAAGGTGTTGGCATCTGGTGAGGAGCTTCTTGCTGTCCACCCCATGGTGGAGGGTGGAAGGGCAGAAAGAGAGAGAGGGCTGGAGGCCAATAGGTGGCTGAACTCATTTTTTTATGAGGAACCCACTCCCATAATAACAGCATTAATCCACTCATGAGAGCAGAGCCCCCATGACCCAACCATTTCCCATTAGGTCCTACCTCCCCACACCCACTGCACTGGGGATCAAGTTTCCAACACATGGAACTTTGGGAGACACATTCACGACATAGCAGAGGACCACTGGAGAAAGGAAGGTTTTTAAAGATTTTTTTTAGGACACTATGGAAGTGATAGCCATTGGACATGGATGGTGTTTTTGTTTTTGGCATGGGAAAAGGCTTATACAACTCTGGTCAACTTGGCAACACTAATCAAAAGTCAAAATCTCCTTTGACCCTAGGGATCCCCTACTATTAACAGTATTATATCTTATAGAACCTAGGTATTTAGGAAAGAAAAAAATGTTCAAAGATGTATTGACATTTAATAAAAGCAAATAACTGGACATAACCCAGCTATCCAAATACAGGCTATCAGGAAACACTGTGAAGGACTTTGAAATAGGTCTTGCCCACTGCCCCCACCCCTGCCTCCAATTACTGAGTGTTCTGTCTAATCTAGCCCACCTTTCTGAGTTGATTCCCTTTCATTTCACTGCCTTTGAGCTACTTTACAATTACGTAAATTAAGGGAAACTGATAATGCAGATGATTCTTGTTCATAGAAATGCAAATTGTGACCAATGGAATATAACTGATTATTGTTCTGCAGGTATCAGCCAATTTTGCCAGTTTTGTAACTACGAAGCAAACTCATTTCAGCATTCCTGCTAGGCTTATAATTATTTGTTCTTTGGATTCTCCTTTGAGCCAATTAAAGTGTCCTACTGGTTCTCTCAATAATTAACAAGTTAAATACAATCATCTTTAACATGTTACTTTTATATTTGTATGAGTCATAATTTTAACTTCTAAAAAAATTATCCTTTAACAAGGTAGTTAAGTAAATTTAATGTTCATGTGGTATAATTTACTTAGCAGCCCTCTTAAAACAGTTATAAAAACCATATGGCAACAGGGACAAATACTCCTGATAAAAATGGCAAGTGGGGAAAAAAGCAGAAATGCAAAATTTGTACTACGTTGTGATTAAAGCTAAACGTTGTAAGTGCTTAGGGCAAGAAATAGGAAGGAGAAAAAAAATTGAAGTTGGATTTGTTTGTTAGGGTGGTAGGATCCTGGATTAAAAAAAAAAAACAAAACCCTGACATTATTCTGTTATACATTAAAAATAATATTGGCGGGCATGGTGGCTCACGCCTGTAATCCCAGCACTTTGGGAGGCCAAGGCAGGCGGATCACGAGGTCAGGAGATCGAGACCATCCTGCTAACACGGTGAAACCTCATCTCTACTTAAAATACAAAAAATTAGCCAGGCGTGGTGGCACGTGCCTGTAGTCCCAGCTACCAGGGAGGCTGAGGCAGGAGAATCACTTGAACCTGGGAGGCGGAGGTTGCAGTAAGCCGAGATCACGCTACCGCACTCCAGCCTGGGATACAGAGTGAGACTCCATCTCGGGAAAAAAAAAAAAAGTTGGCCCTGTATTAGTTTCCTATTGTTGCTGTTAACAAATGGTTTAAAGCAACACTAACTTATCACCTTAGTAATAAATTCTGCAGTTCTGGAGGTCAGAAGTCCAAAGTGGGCATCACAGGGCTAAAATTAAGGTATGGGTGGGGCTGTGTTCCTTTCAGGAGTCCTAGGGGAAAATCCGTTTCCTTGCCCTTTCCAGCGTCTAGAGGCTGCCAGCATTCCTTGGCTTGTTGCTCTCCTTCCTCCATCTTCAAAGCCAATAGCTTAGCATCCTCAAAAGTCTGTCCACCCTCACGTCGCCTTCACTGATGCTTATATGGATCCATGTGCTTACACTGCATCCGCCCAGGTAAATACAGATAATCCTCCTATCTCAGGGTCCTTACCTAACCACATCTGCAGAGTCCCTTTTGCCATGTAAGGTGACACATTCACAGGTCCTGGGGATTAGGATGTGGACATCTCTGAGGACTCCCATCCCCAATCCAGAGGATTTCCCTGAAATGCCAAGTTCAGTGAGAACAGCTTCCCATATGCCTGAGTGAAGGCACAATACTGACTGTGCGAAAGGACATAGTGTGGGACTCCATTTAAATTAAATGTCAGAACAGGCAACACTAGCCTATGGTGGAAAAGAATTACAATTACCACCTCCAAGGGCGGGGTGGGGTTGACTGGGGAAGGCCATATTGGAATTTTCTGGTATGGTGATGTTCTTTATCCTGGCAGGGGCACAAAAGTGTAAACAAACACTACTCTCTAGTCTAGTCAATGACACGTACTGGGGGAATTGTAGTGATGTCTGCCATTTACTCTGAAGAGACATAATGGATAGTTTGATGGACAGATGGATAGACAGGTGATATATAGATACAGTAACATGTTTATGATAGAATCTAGGTGGTGGGTATACAGGTGTTCATTTTAATCATCTTTGTGTTGTTTGAGAATTTTTATAAAAATGTTGGGGATGGTAAGATGTGACCCTGGAATATGACTCTGGCACTCTAAAAACCATAAATTAACAAAAAGAACTTAGAAAGCCATTAAGCAAGCTGTTGAATAATTTCCTTTTTAAAATCAATGGTTCTCAACCTGGGCAATTTTGGAAGGTGTCTAGAAAGGTGTGGGAGCATTCTTGACGGTCTCTAGAACTCTCAGTAAGGGCAAAGTGTTCCTGGCACCCAGGGCAGGGTCCAGAGAAGCTACTGCAACCACGCAGCCTCTCCACAGGACTGTCTTTCTACATTAAATGTTACTGAGGAATACCAATTTAAAATCAGAGTCTTCTCTTCGTATCTCATTAATTTGCTTGCAGTTGCTTGTAGCACATCTCCAAGTGGACTGTGACTCACTTCTCAAAAATGTGTTGTATCTCCCACTTTTCTGTAACCCAAGAACCCCGAGCATAGTGCTCTACCCAGAACACATATTTAATAAACATTTGGTAACAGGGGAGGGGATGTTCCCTGACTATCCCAGCTTGCCCTTTCAGGCAGCTCCTTTGATGCAAACCTACCCCACATTCCCCCTCCTCTGACCCCCAACCCGTTAATAGCCAGTGAGGAAGGATGTTCACTGCTGCATTCTTCTGCCAAGACACAATCTTGAAACTGCATCCCCACTGCCACCCTCCTTCACCCTGCCCAACCCCATCCCCCTGCACCAAATGGCAGGGGAGGCACCTGAAAATAACCACCATGACACAGAGCTGAGAAAAGCCGGCATAAAGCACTTTTATTGCAATAATAAAACTTGAGACTCATAAATGGTGCTGGGGGAAGGGTGCAGCAACGATTTCTCACCAAATCACTACACAGGACAGCAAAGGGGTGAGAAGGGGCTGAGGGAGGAAAAGCCAGGAAACTGAGATCAGCAGAGGGAGCCAAGCATCAAAAAACAGGAGATGCTGAAGCTGCGATGACCAGCATCATTTTCTTAAGAGAACATTCAAGGATTTGTCATGATGGCTGGGCTTTCACTGGGTGTTAAGTCTACAAACAGCACCTTCAATTGAAACTGTCAATTAAAGTTCTTAAGATTTAGGAAGTGGTGGAGCTTGGAAAGTTATGAGATTACAAAATTCCTGAAAGTCCATTAGAAAAACCACAGGATGAAAAAAAAAAAAGGCCACAAAGAAGGCTTCAGAGGTCCCTGCTGGCCCAGGGACAGATACCTGTAGTGTCCAGCATTGCAGTGAACATGATCTACTTTCAAAGGCAGAGGGTTTAAGGGGAGGGTGGGTGGGAATGGTGGAGGCAAAGGCTCTCCCCATCCCCACCTCAGTTTTAGGTAGGGCTTTTAATTTAACCCAAAGACATCTCTCAACTTGGAGAGTAATTCAGTCCTCAACAGCGCCTCAAATCTGCTATGGCTTTGCAGCGCAGCAGCAAGAATGTTTAATATATAATAGATAAAAATTTCATCCAAAAAATTAAAATAAAATATTCTTGCAAACCCCCCCCCCAACACCAATTCCTATTCTAATGTTAACCTACCACTTGTGCTGTTAATACTTGACCATGTACTTAATTGGAAACCTATATCCAAAAGACTGAAACTGAATCTTCACCCCAAAATGAAAACAAAATAAAATGAATAACTTGAGGTTTATGGCATATAGTTTAGGTAAACACACATACGAGGAGAAAGGGGAAGAGGAAACAGAGGTGTCGGAAGCAAAGCTGAGTGACAGAACACATTCAGTCAGGGCAGATGTCTATACAAAGTGGAGTGGAACATCAGGAAAAGCTCCATATGGATTCATGTGCACATGTCTGGAGGCACCAGATCCCTCCATGGCAGATCTGTTGGGGACAGAAAATCTGTGAGTTTCCAGCAACTCAGTGTTCTTTGTGTGCAGTGGCGACAGCCACGATGCCATCTGCCACGCCAAATCCCTTCCCCAACAGCTGAGCAGTCTGAGACCAAGCCACTTCTGTTCCAGCTGGAGACAGCCAGAAAGACTTGGGCTGGGTCCCAGGTGAAACAAACTTTCTCCTTAAATTGATCTGTGTGTTTTGTTTAATCTAAGGTTAAGTTTGCCTTGCTGAGGACAGCAGGAGGGCTAGCCACCCATGCTGCTGACAATACAGTTCCCCACTATCATTGGGTCTCAAACTGTGCTACATATAGGCATCACCTGGGGGCTTTAAAAAACTCTTAATGCCTGGGTTCCACTCCCATGATTATGATTAACTGGTTTAGGGTTTGACCTGGGCATCAGGAAAGTCTTAAAAATTTCCCAGGTGACTCTCATGTGCAGTCCAGACTGAGAATAAACTGGTCATTCATAATGTTGAGTATACTGGGAAAATATCTCCAGTATTCATTCATTCACTCAACTTAAAACTTTCTGGGTTTGCCCTTGGATTTTCCTTCCAGACTCTTGCAAGAAGCT
This sequence comes from Homo sapiens, assembly GCF_000001405.40. Lineage (NCBI taxonomy): Eukaryota > Metazoa > Chordata > Mammalia > Primates > Hominidae > Homo > Homo sapiens. Next base: position 1,370,666 of record NC_000020.11, read on the forward strand.
GAGACATTCTTTGGCAGTGGGTTGGGAGGGTTACTCGGGGTGACTTGTAGCCTTTATCCCTCTCTCCCCTCCCTCTACCTCATCAAGTTTACAGAAAGCCTGTTCCCAACCAGGAAAATAATTCCAAGGCTCCCTCGAGTACAGTTATGTTCAAAAAATGACTCAGCTCTCAAAGAACAGGAAAGGGATTTTGGCCTAGGTGCAGACCTCTGGGCAGACAAAGGCCCTGTAAAGTGCCAGGGATTCCCTCCCAGTAGCAATGACAGGTGAAGAAACCAGTTATCAAACTTAACCAGGCCTGTATTACCAAGGTGTGTGTGGTTCAAACAGAGAGTTTAAAAAGCCCCTCCACTTACAGATGTGCACAACAGGACCAGGTTACAAGTAGCTCTGACTGCCATCACAAATAGGATGGCAGCCATTTGTTGTGGCTTTCAAACAAAAGTGTCCTCACCCAGGCCTTGGCTGTGACCCTCTGGTTCCTATGGCAGGAGGGGAGCAAATAAAAAGGTCTGGGGCCAGTTGGAAGGAAGCCAGTAGCATTCATGTACTTAATGATTCTAACACTTACATGAAAAGTTACGTGCTACTAGGATACTGAGTTTAGTTCCTAAGAAATGAGGGTGGAAGAGGGGAAAATCAACAAACAGGGGCTCTGGTCCTACTTTGCCACTGCCTGGATGTGACCTTGAGTAAGGCCTTTCTCTCTGGCCCTGTTTCCTTACTGTTGCACAATAAAGCTGATGCAGAGGCCCCTAAGATCCCTTCCTAGAACTGTCTGATCTAAGAGCATCCTTTCAACTTCACAAGCATCCTCTGGCTTCATTTTTCCACTTCACTCACTGATAAGCTGGCCTGGGGGCCTCAAGTGTCCTGGGTGTGGACCCTGAGCAGGTGGACCGATGCAGGAATGCCTCCCTCATACCATCTAATAGGCAGTAACCACAAACCACAGTGAAGAGAGAGCCGCAGAAGCTAGGACATGATATTCATATCCAAAGGGCTTTTTTTTTCCCCCTCTAGCTTCTAGAAACACAGGGTAGAACAAAGTCATTCATTAAGAGTCTTATTTCCAAAGAACTAAAATGTTGGCACTACAAATTTGGCCTACATTTCCATAGTCCTCAATTCAGTTTTAATTTATAAACTACATAGAAAAACATTTAAACAGCTGCCATCTCCATGAGTTGAACTGGGAACATACACATGCCAATTCCTTTCCTTAGGGTGACCAATTTTTACATTCAAAGCATACACTAATAACACTGAAAGGATACTCAATACAGAAAGAATGCAGGGGGAAAAATAGCCTTGTGGTGTTTTTTGTTCTCTCTGCTACCCATCAAACGCTGGGCATAACATGGGAGGAGCAAAGGCAGTGAAGGGCCCTTCAGTATTCCATTTCCTTACCCAAGAACAGGGAGCTAAGGGAGGAGGCCATTCCTGTCATTCCAGTTTTAGAAGCTCCACATCGAAGACGAGAGTGGCATGTGGTGGGATGATGCCTGGGTGCCCAGTGGCACCATAGGCATAATCTGGAGATATAGTCAGTTTGGCTCTCTGACCCACACTCATCTGTGAAAAGAACAAGGAAGACAGACTCAGCTGGACACATGCCCCAACTGTCTCTGTAAGAAAAAGAGCTGTTTACCTAGGTGTTCCTTGGCCAGGATGGTATTGACTTTCCAGTGACTTTGCAGCTGCCCAGGCATCACCACCTCCTTGTGCAGGACTTGGAGGTTGGCAGTCATATTCCATCACCCCTGCATCTCACTCCAAGAAGCCCAATGGCAGTTCAAAACCCCTCCTGACTCTCAGAACGGTCAGGCCCTCAACCTTTCTACGCAAGTCTTAATGACTAATGCTAGGCAGGTAACATTCCAGATGTCTCACCACCTAGTCCCCTTCAGTGATCTGTCACTTAAAGGACATGTTAAGTGCCATCTATGCTCTTCTTGAAAAAGGAATACTCAACTTTGCTTTAAAAAAATATATACACAGGAAGTAATACTTGAGGGTAGTCTATTTTTTCTGTATTTTTTCTATTTATACTCTTTTACCCATATAGGAAAACTTCAAAAAAGACAATATGATTTTCTGGGCTACAAAATAGCATTTACTGAATACCATTTGTGAAAATATTGATATGCCTACAACAGAAAACATCTTTGGAAGGACATACCAGACATTTGCTGTGAGGAGAACAGTATGGATAGTGAGTGACCAGTAAGGAGAGATTTCTACTTTAAAAAATATATTTGTGTATATTTTCAGTTTCAAATTAAATACACAAATAAGTATAAAATATCTACTTTCTGAACAGTGAGCAGGTTCTCTGCAGTATTTCCATCCTTTGACTTATCTCTGCTTTTGGTCTCCATGTGTATGTTCCCGACTTTCCAACTCCACCAGACAGAGGATGAATAAAGAGGAAGCTCCAGGCTGTGAAGCGTCTAGTCCTTGCTCCCCTCAGAAGCTGGGACATGTTGGACCAAGGTGGTAAGGATAGTGAGGTATGGCTTTACCTTGTACAATTCAAAACAATCATATTCCTTGACTCAGCAATTCTATTTCCAGAATATTCTGCTAACAACTCAAAAGTCCATCACAGAAGGAGTGGTTTCATAGGCATATCCACACCAGGGATTAGTCATGAGAAATCATATAGTGGTGGCTTTAAATGTATTAACATGAAAAGATGTCCAAGATGGATGAAAGAAAGCTGCCAAAATGGTCCTTGTGGCAGGCAGGACTCCACGCCTGCAAACATGTAAAACCAAAACAATATCAAAAGGAAAGGAAAAGGGTCACAAGTCAATCTCCCCTTCTTCCTGTGTTTTTAACTCACTTGGTGAAAAAATATGCTATGAAGAATTTAAAAGATATTTTATGTAGATCTCAAACTACCCAGACTTCTCACAAATGACAGGGCTGTGACTGACCCCAAAATACCAGTTAAAGGGGGAGTCAGGCATCTGTCCAATACTCGACCATGCCTCTCCAAGCCTGGGAAGTGAAGTAGGCCGATAACACTATCTCGATGGCAGATACAGCACTCAGTACATACAACGCAGTGATTGTTCCAATGCTGGAGCAGTCACAGAAGATGGGTTGTGGTATGAACAATGGCTGGCATGAAAGATGGGGGATGGGCTACAGATCCAAGAGCCAGACAGACTAGGGAGACAGAGGCAAAAAGCTATGGTTGGCAAGGTTTCCCAAGGGAAGTAAACTACAAAGCCTCTTCCTCACACTGCCAACCCTCTGCCCTGCAGGAACAGAAACCCAGACACCTGGGAGTGGGATGGCTTCAAGTTCCTGAAAGTTGAGCAGTTTATTTGGAGATAAATCAGTGATATTTTATAGAGGAAGTAGAGCAATGTGTATTCTGGAAAAGAGAGAGACAGAAATCTGTCTTTTCATCTTGGTTAAATTTCTAATTCTCCTGGGTGAGAGGGAAGCAGACTAATTACCCATCATGCAGAGCCTAATTATAAAGTTCCTTGGGTCTCAGGTCACTGAAAAACATCCCTTTACCTGGTTAGAGCCAAGAAAAAATTCCTAGGTTTGATGGAAAGACAGAATCCAACTAAAATTTGGCAACCCTGGGTCCCTATTGTCTCCTGGGAATTTTGTAGTGTTGGCAGAACAAAAGCTGTTTCCACAAATGGGGAGGAAAGAGATTAGGAAACACACTCAAGACAAACGAAATGACTTTCTCCATAAGTATGACGTCTCAGAAGTGGTCTCACACAATATGGGTAATAGATAAATACAAATTAAAACCACTGATATCATGTTTTACTCTTATTGTCCAGAGGCCAAAGATTTAACAATATACTGTGATGCTGGGGCTGGGAGGAGATTGCACCTTTATAGCCTGGTGGTGGCAGTCCAGAGTGCAACCCCTAGAGATGGTAACTTGACAAGACCTCTCAAAAACACTACACACAGCTTTTGAGCCCCTCATCCCACTTCTGAGAGTAAGTCCTATGGCAACATGTGCACACGTGGAAAATGAAGTCTGTACAAGGTGAGTTACTGCAGCATTGTTTATAATAGCAAAATACTGGAAATGACTCAAATACTCATTAATAGGGCACTAGCCAAGTAAATTATAGCACACTTACATAAACGAATACTAGGCAGCTGTAACAGAGCTTACTCCTCATTTTTTCTTTCTTTTTTGAAATGGAGTTTCGCTCTCGTCATCCAGGCTGGAGCGCAATGGCACAATCTTGGCTCACTACAACCTCCGCCTGCTGGGTTCAAGTGATTCTCCTGCCTCGGCCTCCCAAGTAGCTGGGATTACAGGCACCTGCCACCACGCCCGGCTAATTTTTGTATTTTTAATGGAGATGGGGTTTCGCCATGTTGGCCAGGCTGGTCTCGAACTCCGGACCTCAGGTGATCCATCCATCTTGGCCTCCCAAAGTGCTGGGATTACAGGAACTCCTGACCTCAGGTGATCCACCCATCTTGGCCTCCCAAAGTGCTGGAATTACAGGCATGAGCCACCGCGCCCAGCCTACTCCTCTTTTATGTAGTGGTATTGCAAGTGTCAAAAATGCATTAAGTGAAAAAGTAAACTGCAAAACAGTATGTGTGTGAAAGCAAGAAAAAAGTTATGTTTTTATATGTGCTTAAACCACAGTACAAGAAACATTAACAACAGGAGCTTCTTGTGGGGGTATTGGTCAGATGGGATGGCATGAGGGTGAGACTTTTCACTTTTTTTATTTTTGAACCGTATAAATATGCCACCTATAAAAAAATATAAAAGGTAAATACTAGAAAGCAAAACAAAACAAATGAGAGAGCATACCTGGGCAACCCCTTCTTCCCAGCCTCGGATCACCTCCTGCTTGCCTAGCATAAACTTAAAGGGCTTGTTTCTGTCCCGGGAGGAATCAAATTTCTTTCCATCTTCAAGCATCCCTGTGAAAAAGACGACTGTAACATGAGCAGCAGAGTAATGACACAAGACAAGTCAGAAACCAGCAGCAGAGCACTCATCAGAGATGCCAGTGCTGAAGAGTCTGGCAGGAACTGCAGTATCTAGGGAGGGTTTCCTGTGACCTCACTGGACATCTAAGGAGTTGCGACAGTCCTACTCCAGACCTGTGAATGCTCTTCCCTGACTCCAAGCAATAACTCGACTACAAAAGGACCCCGCGTACCAGAGATGAGCGGCAGTCCACCTTCTTCTGGAGATGGGGAGTATAAACTTCCTCCTGCCCTGACTCTCCCAGCACCCCGTGGATTTTCTCCCCAGCTAAAAATAACTGTGGTCCCTCGAGGTGCACACTATGTCTAGAAGTCACACACAGTGCAAGAAGCAATATTCCTTCCCAAAATCCCCCATCATCTTTCACATATAATGTGTGTATATATTGCTCCTCCATTGTTCAGTGCAGGCAAATCCCCCTCCACCATCTGCCACCCCCATGGGCTCCTCTGTGGTTCACTAATTGTGACCTACACACATTGCTGCTCTCCAGGCTGTGGGTCAGCACTATGGGATGTGGTAAGAGGAAGCTATAAGGCAAGCTTTCACCCTCATTCTAGTGCCAAGTGTCTCACACCAACAGGGAACCTGGGGCGTAAAGCTGGCCCCTTGTAGGCTGGTTCCTGAGTTGTCATAATTTTCCTGGGAAAGTAAAAACCAACCTAGGCTGAAATAGAGAAATGAAAGAAAGAATTTGTGCAGCATTCATCCCACTTATTTTATCCAATGCTGCCCCACAAAACAACCCATGCTCATTTTTGCACAGCTAATACTTTGTAACAGAGATGACTGAAGAGAACAGGAATACTAAGGAGGTTGCAGTGGTGGCCCTTCAAGAATTAACTCAGTAAACCCAGCCAACTGCTAGCAACTCTGTGGCCAGTGGTTCCACTCTGAGTTACTCTAAATGGGCTAGGTGCTTTCCACACATGAACGAATGCAATTCTTTCTCCACAGCACTATCCCCATTTCACAGATGAAGAAACTGAGGCAGACAGGGAGAAGTGAAAATAGTAAATAGTAAAATTTACTATTATAAAAATAGTAAATTTATAATTTAGTAAAATAGTAAAACTACGTTATAAATTATAAACCCAAATACCATGCTCTTTCTATTATTCCAGTTTCCCAGAAGCTGGACAAGCCACGACGGCGCCTTCCAATAAAAGGGGAACTCCAGAGACGCTATGAGAAAAGAGGAACAGACATCTGCAATAGATATCTGCAACTTCCTTTTCAAAAACACCATCGGCATTGCTTTCTCAGGAAGCCACTGCCAGCCTATTGTGATAGCTGACACTGAGTTCCTGAGAATTCTCTAATTAGGATCCCAGATTGGAGGGTCAGCCAGTGGTTAACATATAATGGACACAAAACTGATTTTACTGGAAGACTGAGGGTGGGCACTCACCATGGTTCTAAGCATTCATTACTCAGAAGATCCATAAAAACATTACAGTTCTGTTGTGTAAGAGTTTAGGAAAAAAAGAAAATCCTGACAAAAATCCCAACCTAAAAAACAGTGTCAACATTTGTAAGTAGGATGGGGAGGCAGAGATGAATTGGCAGTGTTATCACAGCTACTGGACTATGTGGACTTTAACAAAGTAAGAAACGGGTGGGGGTTGGGTGGTGGTATCTTAATAGAGCAGGAGTAGAGACGGATGTCCTGGGGCAGAATGGGTACCAATGCTGCCTGAAGCCTGGAGCTGGGAGCTGAGGACTAAGAGGTAGACAGGAGGGTGGGGACCGGTACCTGCTCCAAGGAACTGGTGCCCCAGAACTGGTGAGCTGGGGTATGCATTTAGCTCATTCGTTTACCAGAATGCAGTCACCACCTGATGAAAGAAATGACTAATGGCAGGACTTGAACAGTTCTCTATAAATGAGTACCTGGGAGAAAAACAGGTCTCCAGGCTCCACAATACCCAATAAACACACTGCCTTTAGCCCACTTCAAGCTGCACTTCTTACATGGAACCCAACCCAACCAACCTCAGAGGTAAGGGTGAGAGCAGGCAATGAACAGCTATGATTCTCCATTCCCTGGCCAGGCAGGGAGCCTTTCCATCCACCCTCGTGAGACTGCTTGTAACAGAAATAAGGAAACCGACTCCAAGGCTCAGTAACCCACCCAAGGTCAGAACCACGGAGTGGCAGGGCCTGTGAGCCACAAAGGAGACTGAAAACCAGAAAGAGCTTCTCTCTGGTCTGTTATTTTAAGAAAAACATGCCCAGAGGGGCCACCTGGAAGCAAGGCTGTGTGGCACCCTCACCTTCCTAATTAAACAACAACTTCCCAGGAGCAACGACAGCAACAACAGCCTGGCCCAGCAGATGAACTCGAATCAATCCAAGCCCTTCCCCTATACGGGTCAGTTTGGGCACTACTTTACCTGCTGTGAAGTCTACTGGGATCTTCCAGGAAAGTCCCACCTCATTAGTAAAAAGAAAAACAAAGACTCGGGAAGAAAGTTCCTGCCCTCCCTGTTGAATGCTGTGTGAGGATAAGATGTCTGGAGCATGGCAGTCACCCTGTGACTATCAGAAGGCCAGGCGTACCACAAGGTGGTCATTCCAGTGCTCTGAATCAGCCCCAAACCACTTCCCTCAAGACTCATGTTCTGAGGTGATTAAAAGTGTGCTTTGAAGGTAAATCTAGGATGACAGTCAACAGATCAGTGATTGCCAGGAGTCAGGGGTAGAGGGAGGGAAGAACAGATGGAGCACAGAGAATTTTTAGGGCAGTGAAAATGTTCTGTATGATACTATATATAATGGATACATGCCATTATACACTTGTCCAAATGCACAGAATGTACACCACCAAGAGTGAACCCTAATGTAAACTATGGACTTTGGGTGATCATGATGTGTCAATGCAGGTTCGTCAATTGCAACACACGTACCATTCTAGTGGGGGGTGTTGATAACAGGAGGCTATGCATGTGTGGGACCAGGGGATATATGGGAAATCTCTGTACATGCCTCTCAATTTTGCTGAGAATCTGAAACTGCTCTTAATGAAGTCTTACAAAAATAAAGAAGTCTGCTTTGCCTTAGGTTGGGTCTTCAGTTACCTGCAGCCAAATGAACACAACTGGCGTGAGGTAAACCTCTGACACTTAGTGAGCACGCTACAATGTAGTGCTGCCACGAAAGGAATAACAAAGAAACAGAACTCAACAACTAAAACCACAAAGAACTATCCCTGATCCGCGACAATGGGAACAGTGTCTCATGTCAGGACCCAGTACACACCCACATTTTGTCTGTGTATAAACAAAATTTACATGTAAGTTACTACATGGCATATACTTCTCATTTTTAAAAAGAATGCTGATTGTGACCCACTACATTTATTTCATGATGCATTAATGGTTCATAACCCACAATTTGGAAAGTACGGTATACCTATAAAAAATTAGCCTTATTTCTTGCCAAACTTGAACACGGCTCTGACCTGTGCAAGATCGTATTTTGATTGCAGTGAAAGCCACAGGGTACTGAGACAGACTCCCTAAACTTCCTTTTTATTCCTGATCAAATGCAATGCCAAGCAACCTCCAGACACTACATGCATCAATGTATCAATGTTGCTTTGCCTGAGGTGAGATACTTCAACTATCTATCTGACTGGTACCAGGCTAGGAGCACTAGGCAGGACACAGCCTGAATCTGCTGCTGCTGCTGCTGCTGAGCCAGCATGGAGATGTGTATGTTCTTCAGTGGCTCTATGTGAGGATGCCTGTCTAACCCCAGCTCTCCTGAGCCTATCTTGGACACTGAGGGGCAAACCTCTCCCTAGTATCTTAAAACCATAAAAGCCAGGAAGCAGGATTTCTAAGTAAAGGAGCTTTAAACAGGACCTTTGCCTAGGATCTTAATTTTCCTATGCTATTTTGGATGCTCTGTTGTCCCTGGGAAAGGGGCATGAGACTTGCTCCAGAATTTCAGACCACAGTCACCAACTGTCAATCTCATCTACTTTCTAAGGAGAAATCTTCGCAGGGCAGGGTTGGGTGGTGGCAGTGATGTTGGGGTTCCTTGAGTCCAAGGAGAGGATTTCCCATAATCGAGTCCGAAAGCTAAACAATAATCCCCCGAAATGGGTGGGGTGGTATGTGATTAAGTGGGTGTCACACAACTGGCACAAGCTACAGGACAAGGAGAAGGAGGGCTTCCCCAGTGGGGAGGAACAGGCCACTTATCTATGGCCCTAAGTTGTCAGCCTGGGGGAGAAGGTGGAAGCAGTGTTTGTTAAGCTGGAATGAGTGTGCATGTGTAGGAATTATGCTGTTCAGTCTGTAATGTCAAAACAGATAGTGAGAACTTCCATTTCTGGTCACGGTGGAGGACAAGGATCAGATTTGTTCATGAAACAACCAACAACCAACCAACCAACCCCTTCCTCCCTACAAAAAGTCCACTAAAACCTAAAAACCACCTAGACAAAATAGCTACAACGATGGTTTGTAGGACACCAGACATCTGTAATGAAGAACAATAAATCCTGAGACATGGGAAACAAGGGCAGCCCTATATCCTTGGGAGTTTCCAGGGAGAGGGACCTGGAGTGGAGCTCAAGGCACCTAGAGTCCATAGGACACAGTACCAGCAGGAGAGAGCTATACAGAGATCCCCAGAGATCTGCAGGGTCCTCTTTGAGTATTCAGCAGAGTCCCTCTCAGTGCATGTATCTGAGCAAACTATTCAAGGCCAGGAAAAGAACTATCCAAAAGGCTTAGAGGAACAGTATCCAGTGCTCACACAGGGCTAGGATTAGTGCTTACTACCCCCCGGTCAAACTGGAGAAGCTCATGATTGACAAAGCACTGGGCAGAATACTCAGGAAGATCTTGCCTATAGTAGGAAATAATCAGCCCTAAACTGAGCTCTAGACCTACCTAACAAATCACAAAAGCAAGACTCGCAAGCATCAAACTGTTTCCGGGTAACTTAAATGCTTCTCAGTATAAAACTCAGGAAAATTTATAGGAATAAAAATATCCAGCACCCCAAAAGGCAAAATTCACAATGTCTGGCATCCAAAGATTACCAGGCATGCAAAGAGGCAGAAAACAGGACCCACAATGAGGAGACTTATCAATCAATTGAAAGCAACCCAGAACTAACACAAATGTTAGAATTAGTAGAGGAGAACCATAAGACTCCAACTTTCAGAGATGAAAACTACAATGTCTGAGATGAAAATTACATTGGGCTGAAATGACAAAATATCCACACATAACACAGTAAAAACTTCACACCATTATCAAGCATTAACTCAAAATGGATCCTAGACCTAAATGTTAAGTACTAAACCTATCAAATTTATAGAAGAAAACATAGGAAAGAAATCTTTGTGACCTCGAGTTGGGTGAAGATTTCTTAGTATGATGTCAAAAAGCACTATCTATAAAAGAATAAATTGAACTTCATCAAAATAAATTCAGTACTTTAAAAAGCACTGTTAAGAAAATGAAAGACAAACCATACACTGGGAGAAAACTTTTGCAAAGTACATATCTGATAGAGGACTTATATCCAGAATATAACAAACCAAAATTCAACAATTAAGAAAACCAATAAAAAAGGGCTAAAGATTTGAACAGATACTTCATTGAAAAAGACAGAGGGCAGGTAAGCATATGAAAAGATGCTAAACATTCCTAGTTATTATAACAACGCAAATTAAAACCACTAGGAAACGCATCTACCACCACTGATTAGAATGAGTAAAGCTAAAAAGACTGACCACGTCAGGTGTTAGTGAGGATGTGAAGGAACTGGTATTCTCATACACTGCTAGTGGGAATATAACATAAAGCTTCAGAAAACAGCTTGATAGTTAAGTTAAACATACACCTCCCATATGACCCAGCCATTCTGATCTTGAGTATTTATCCAAGAGAAATGACAGGCTATGTCCACAGAAAAACTTGTACACAAATGTTCAAAGCAGATTTATTAGCGATAGTCAAAAACTATAAACTAACCCAAACATCCACCAACGGGTAAGTTGGTAAATACATGTTTCTATATATAGAAAAATATTTAGCAACAAAAAGGAACAAACAATTGATACATGGGACAATACAGATGAATCTCAAAATAATTATACCAAGTGAAAGAAGGCAGACATAAGAGAACGTACTGTATGATTCCATTTATATAAAACTTTAGAAAATGCAACAAATCTACACTGACAAAAAAGCATATCAGTAGTTGTTAGAGGAGGGTAAGGAGGGGTGAATTCAAAGGGAAACAATGACACATCAAAATTTATGAAGCTGTACATTTTTAAAATGTGCAGTATATTGGATTTCAATCACGCCTCAGTAACTTTTTTAAAAAAGGAAAAGAAAAAGAGTAGGCAGTGGCATTTACTAAAATGCTATATATGTTTAGCTCCCACATACACACTGGCAATGAATGAAAAGTGCTTCCTCTCTTTGGGGAGGGAACAGGTAAAGCAGGCAGCAAGTCAAGTCTCAGCAGCTGCTCCAATTTTAACTCTGGAGATCACTTGTGCCAGGAGCTGGAGCCCTTGAACAGTGAAACCACCTGCCAAGTTAGTGCCATAATTTCCTAAAGAAAGCGTGCCCTGCTCAGAGAAGGCAACTGAGGTTACAGTGCAGACAAGACAGCTGACAGTCTTTAAGCTCTAAAGGCCACTCAGCATAAAACATCACAAGCATTGCCTTCTAATTGCAGAACTGACCAATTTCATTCCTGGCCGTACAAGCCTATAACTCATGCCTAACAAACTGCCTGGAATAGCTCCATATTCTTATTTTAAGTATTTAGTCTTGGCTCTCCTGACTGAATGCAGCCCAAGCTCACAGACCTGGCCTGCGTTCTGTGTCCTGGTGGCACGTATGGTGCTGGTACTCAAGAGCACTCTTGGATTTGCTTTACTTGCATGATTTTTAAGAACCAGAAGGACAAGCATGAGGCCTTCATATTTAGACCTTCTTCCCTATATGGTAACAAGAATATGAGGGGTAATCCCAGAATGGTAAACTTTACTTTAAGCACCTTTAGTTACTAATCAGTAAGAAAAATGTGAAAATGTGCTCCAGTTAAAAGCACAAGACCATGAAAGAAGCCAAAGCTATGACTGACTGCATGCAGAGGCTGTTGACGTCATCTTCGCCTGGGTCTCCTCCTGAACTGAAATCCTTGGAAAGGGAGCAAAAGGGTTTACAAAACAAGACGGTGCAGAGAGTCTCAAGTCTGTCTACTCCACAGCAGCCTGCTCTTTCCTGTTGCTTTTCAAGGAATCAGCAGAGGGAGACCTGGCCAGCAGCTCCTGGGCAGCAAAGTATCCCCAGACTGTGTTCCTGGTGGTTGGCTCAAGCCACTGAAGCGGTGGTTAAGACTCAAGACCAGGACCTGGAGATTCACAAGGACCACTGGGATACTATTTCACTAATAACCCAATAGAAATGGAGTCACTTCCAAGGCACTCTGCTTTGGGGAAGGGCAGAGTGCCATATACCTTCTACTGGGTAACAGGACTGAAGAAGGCACCTCTACAGACTTATGGCTTCACTACTTGTAGTGAAAGCTCATGACTCACAATGCAGTTTATAGTTGCTCATGAATCTTTGCAGGAGTGTTTCCTATAGGCAGCATTTTACAGGGACAAAATATGGGAAGTTTTAAGATTAAAAAAAAAAAAATGACTAAACTAAACCAAAAATCAAACATAACAAAAAACCAGAATATCCTAAGCCCCAAACCTTCAAAATAAAATAAAGTCCTTGCCATTTACAGTTTGGAGAGGGAAAAGGATTTCTACTTTCAACACGCAGGTGAGTTTCTTAATGACAAAAAGTACAATGAGGCCAGCTGCGGAGGAGGCTCATGCCTGTAATCCCAGTGCTTTGGAAGGCCAAGGCAGGAGAATCACTTGAGGCCAGGAGTTTGAGACTGGCATGAGTTTGCAACCAGCCTGGGCAACACAGCAAGACTCATGTCCCCAATCCTGTTTCTGCAAAAAATTAAAAAAAAAAAAAAAAAAATTTAGCCAGACATGGTCCTAGCTACTTGAGTGGATCAAGTGGGAGATCACTTGAGCCCAGAGGTTTGAGGTTGCAGTGAGCTATGACCGCACAAGTACACTCCAGACTGGGCAACAGAACGAGACTCTGTCTCTTAAAAAAAAAAAAAAAGGTGTAATGGTTGAATGGGTGGAGGTAGGGGGAGCCAGTATTTTTCTGCAGCTTTGCATTTGAAGCCACTCAGAACATTCCCAGATGGGCGTATGGCTCAAGGTCTAATGGTTTAGCTGTTTGCTTTCCCTCTTCTTATTAGACACAGAAGTTCTCTTAACCACCTTTTACTCAGCTGCCTTACTTGGAGACTCATAAAACTCACAGCCTTCGTACCCCAGCATAGTGAAGAGCACTCCCCTCATGCTTTAGTCTCTAGCTCATGATCACTTCTTCATTCCCATATGAGTTCTGTGTTCACAAAGGGAGGAGTGGTTAGCTGTGTTTGTCCCCAAATCCATTTATGGTAGCTATATTTACTGTGTAAATATAATGTAATTAAATAGTATGTAAATCAATAAAATGAGTGTGAATACAAACAGCGGTTCTAGCTGACTCCTGGGAAAGACTCAATAAAGGCAAGTCACTAAAAAACTATTGCTAGTGAATAATCATATGGGAGACTACATTTAGAGAAAGAAATCTTAAAAATCTGGAAAGGTTTGGTTTTTAAATGTTCTCACAATACTCTTTGCTCTACTTTAAAAAAGGTCAAATTGGTTTTTGCAAGAACTATGATGGGAAACTCCACTAGCAGAGCCATCCTCAAAGATAAAGACATAGTCCTTTAGCAAATGATTTATGTTAGAGTTTGAAATCAAATGTTTACAGAAGCCATGTCACTTTTATGTTAGCATACCAACTACCCACTTGTCTCAATCATGATGGGTAAAAAGGGATTCTACATTTAGATAGGCAAAAGATACAAATTCAAATCTTACATTCTTATTATTCCATTTCTGGGTCTCTGTGGCTGTATTCCAGCACAACCTCCCTGAAGTGGGGTTCTGAGAACTCCTTATGAGTGAGGGGTATGACCAAAGGTCCAAGTGCCAACCCAAAGAGGGAACCAGCTCACTCTCACTATCATTTTCCTGAGATCACCAACAGTGCAAGCACATTTCCCATACGCAGTATGGAAATGCTTCTAACCTTTGGCTAAATCCCTTTAGATCCTATAACCAAAAGTGTATTTTCAAAGGCAGGGCCCATGATGGGAAGAATATGCAGGATCCAACGGCAATAAAAAGAACACAGACCAGAATGCATGCCCTGTGGGTGTGTCTCTCCATTTTCCACTTTAATCACAGTATAAATAAGAGGAGTTACTACCACATTATATCGCATGGGGAGGGGGAGAAAGAAATACCACTAGGCCGGGTGCAGTGGCTCACGCCTGTAATCCTAGCACTTTGGGAGGCTGAGGCAGGTGGACTGCCTGAGCTTCGGAGTTTGAGACCAGCCTGGGCAACATGGTGAAACCCTGTATCTACTAAAATACAAAAAATCAGCCGGGCATGGTGGCGTGCGCCTGTAGTCCCAGCTACTTGGGAGGCTGAGGCAGGAGAACTGCTTGAACCCGGGAGGCAGAGGTTGCAGTGAGCCGAGATTGCACCAGGGCACTCCAGCCTGGGCGACAGAGTGAGACTCCATCTCCAAAAAAATCAAAAGAAATACCACTTAACAATAGCTAGCTGGAAGTGGTAGAAATATGCATTTTCTATAGGGTATAATGGTTAAAGGCATGAGTTCTGGACCTCTGTTACAGACTATTATTACAACTCCCTCCCTGGTCTCCCTGCTTCTGCTCTTGCTCTCCTACAGTCTAAACCTGACACAGCAGCCAGACCCTACTACCCCTCGGCTGAAAAACTCCTGTGACTCCCCCATCTCAGGAGATAAAACTCTTAAAATGGCCTACAAGACCCTCTAAGAAGTGTCAAGCCTCCGCCCCTACCACCATCCCTCTGACTTCACCTCTGATTACTCTTGTACTTTTCCAGTCCCAGAACATTGTTTCCTTATGTTCTACATACACACCAGGGATACCTCCACCCGTGGGCCTTTGCATTTGCTGTTCTCTCTGCCTAAAATGATCTTGCTCAAACAGTCACATAGGTTACATCCTTACCTCCTTCAAGTCTTTGCTCAAATGTCACTTTCTCATTGAGGCCTTTGCCAATCTATCTAAAACCTCAACCTTTTCCTATTCCCTCCTTAACACTTACTAGCTTATACACAACAGTCTTGCTTATTAATCATATTTATTATGTCTTTTCCACTACAGTGTGAGATGAAGGCAGGAACTGTGTCTTCTTCACTCCTAAATTCTTGGTAGCCAGGACAGTGTCTTGTACATAGCAGACATTCATCAAGTACTTACAGAAATATCAAAGGTACCCTTTTCTCCTCCTGGCCTGTGTATATACCTGGAAGACGCTTTCCTCCTGCCTGACTGCACCATACACACCCAAGACCAAATGGCACTTCCTCCAAGAAGTTCTAGCCTATAGGTGTAGGTTGCCTGAGGTACTTTCATTGTAACTGACCACTCCCTACAGGGTAAGCTTCTTGAGGGCAACATTGAGGCTTTGCCCAGCTCCTTATATATTCACTGAGTGACCGAGGGAATGCCAGGTCCTAACTGGCCACTCATTCAAACAGTCACTGAATAGCTACTCTATGCCAAGACTGATGGGGAGACCTTGGAGAACAACACTAGTGTGGGTCTGGCCTCCTGGAGCCTTCAGTCGGTTGGGGAAAGAGCAGATGTTTAACTACACGGATCCTGACTATGATGGGGGCTAAGAAAATAGATGGGTGCATTGTTGCAGAATTAGAAGCATGCATGTATGCATCCAAAGTGTTACTTAAGCTGTGCTATAAAGAAAAGAGCCTGTCATGCAGTGGGGAGTGGGGGCAGTGTGGTGGCACCTAAGCAAAGGGGCAGAGACCTCCATGTGGGAAAAGGCTTGGAGCATTCGAGGAATGAATGCAGGCCAAGGTGGCTTGAGCTCCTGGGAGAGGAAGAGCAAATGTAACAGAAAGAGACAGTAGCATCTAAGAACTGGTTATTTCTACCTCCCCGACTTTCTGCACTGCTAGAATACACCTGGTCAAAATCAAAGGGGTCCAGGGGAGGGAATGCAGAGACTTGGTTAAGCTTTTTAGCAGGAAAAGAAAACAAAAAAACAGAAGAAAAAATAGAAGTAAAAATAAACAAATGTCACCATGAGCACCAAAGGGAGAACTGAATGCTATGTGATTAAGTTATTCATAACCTTGGCTTCTTCCATGGGAAACAGCAGGTGACAATATTTTTAGAGAAAATTCCAAGGCAGACAAATGATTTCCAGTTTATGGATACAATAAACCCCTCAGTAATTCATAAAAATCAGTTTAAGCCTAAAAATGTTCTAGTTAAAACATCTATGAGTAAATAGGTGAATTTATGGTATGTAAATTATATTCAATAAAGCTGTTACCAAGAAAAAAAAAGGTCATGGACCCCACTGAAAGGAACCAGAGCTCTTTGAAAGATGGCTGATAATTGGACCAGAGTAGTGAAACCGAGAAATGGATGAAGGAATGGTGGGAGCCTGTCAAAAAGGTACTGGAGCCAGCTTAAAGGGCTCCTACTGGCCAAATTTAGGATGATATTAGCATCAAAAAGAATAATGGGTATCATTGATCTTAAGGCCCTGACAAAAAATTTCAGCCCACAGTACAGTCAAAGCAAATAGAGGGGGAAAAAGTCACTTGCCCCCACTGGGAATGGCAATACCCCATCAGTTAACATTCATTTTTCATTTTAAAAATTGGTAATTAAAGGCTGGGCACGGTGGCTCATGCCTGTACTACCAGCACTTTGGGAGGCTAAGGAGGGTGGATCACTTGAGGCCAGGAGTTTGAGACTAGCCTGGGAAACCTGGCGAAACCCGTCTCTACAAAAAATACAAAAATTAGGACAGGTGGCATGCACCTGTATGCCCAACTATTCAGAAGGCCGGATGGGAGGCCGGGATGGGAGTCTGGGAGGTCGAGGCTACAGTGAGCCATGATCAAGCCACTGCACTCCAGCCTGAGTGACAGAGACACTGTCTCAAAAAATAAAAATAAAATTTGGTATTTAAAGGTAAAGAATTACTTTACCTTATCTTATAGAAGGATAACAGCTAATAAATTTAGAAAGAATGAAGGAATTTTAAAAATCAACACTTTGTGAATGCCAGTGACTTCTTCAGGGGAGAATGATCAGATGGTGTAAACACCACTAGGTGAAAGGCTGATGAGCAAGAGACCATCTATGGCTACCTAAGCACTCCACAGATCACTGCTAAATGCAAAGGGAAAAATGTACCTTTACAGAAAAGATCAAATTTAGCATCACAACTAGTGATGTTTCCCATGTGTGCTGAGGATGAAGTACTCACACTAAAATGTTTAAACGGAATCTATTCAGACACTTAAAAGATTAAACATCCGGTTCAGAAAATCAAGGCAGGGAACAAGTTAAACAATACCATGAGAAAACAGTAAGACAGATGTGGAGTATTCTATAACTAGCCTGCTCTCTTTGAAGAAATCAGAGTTATTAAGAAAAAAACAGCGTAAGGACTCTTCTAGACTGAGATTACAGACATAACAACTGCGATGAGTGAGGCTCAATGGAACTGTGGTTTTAAAAAAGAGCAACACTTTGGAGACAACTGGGTAGTCTCGATAGGCATTTGCTTCACAGCAGGCATCGTTACTCCCATTTTATAGACAGCATGTGGAAGCTGGGAACTGTGGGACAATTTGTTCAAGCTCTCATAGCCCGTTGTATGGCAGGGTCAAGATCAGAACACAGCGAAGAACCCACATGCTCTTTGGGGATCACTGTCCACCTGGCACCACTTCTGCCCACTGCCTGAGCTGGCACTCCACACACCTGGGATACAACCAGTGTCCTGTTTCTGCCTTTGCCCCCAAAAGCCCATTGTCCACACAGTAGCCAGAAGGAGCGTGGGTTGGGGGGGCGGGGGCGGGCATTAAAAGCCAAGCCAGCCAGTGGCTCTCACCTGAGTTAGAAAAAGGCAACGTTTTTATAAAAACCAACGAGGCTCCACCATCCCCTCATCTCCTGCCACATACCCTTTCACACAATCCACTTCCTGTTCCTCTAACGCACCGGTCTTCTTACTGTTCCTCTAATGCACCGAGCAGGCTCCAGCCTCAGGGTCCTGCACTAGCTCTTCCCTCTGCCTGGATACTCTAGACAGCCCTGTAGCTCCCTCTCCAATGTCCTTTGAGTGAATGTTAAAATGCCATTTTTTTCAGAGGCCTTTTCCAATCACCCTCACGAAAAGCAGCCAACTTCCCTTCCCATCCCTCACTCTGCTTTAATCTCTCCAGCGCTTCTTACTACCTGATGTGCTCCATGGCCATACTATCAGTCTCCTCATCATAAGCAAAGCCCCACCAGATCAGGTCTTTGTCTATTTAGTTCACTAGCCATGTCCCTAGAGCCTGGCTTGCTGCTGTTGCTCAAAAAACATCTGCTGTGGGAAGGCAAAGGGACTTGTTGCAGCCCTGCCCAACAGTTACAGCCTGTGTGCCTCAAGACAGCACACGTCAGGGGAAGCCATCTGAGGCATCTCTGCTGAGGGTGAGCCTCCCTCCAGACATCAGATCACCAACCAAGAGATACCTAGCAAGGGAGTGGATGGAATAAAGCAGAGGAGAGGGGGGAACAAAGCTAAGGAAAAGCAAGGGGCTTGAGGGAGGCTGCAGCAAAGTGGCCACACCTGTCCCGGGAGCCTCAGCAGCCTTCCCAGTCAACCTCCTGAGGACATGAGGTTGAGGGGCTCCTGGTTTTTCTCAGTCAGAAACCGGGAGGCTATACCTGACTTAAACCTGATCCCAAGGACAAAATGTCCAGTTAGTTACTTTTTAAGAAGAAAAAAGAAAACATTCCTTCAATCCCCTTGGGGCTGCTCTCACAATGGCAGGCACACGGCCTGCTGAAGTAAGTAAAAGAGGTCTAAACCTAGCTGTGTGCCAGGACAAGCTAACAGTAAAGATGACGAAGCTACTGGAGGCAGCAGGGAGGCGCCATGAGAATTCCCTGGCTCCTAAAGGCACTTACTTGGCAGCTTACCTTTCCACCACCTCCCTCCCACCTCAATGCCTGTCATGCTCCTAGGAGATGCTTAGCTGGTGATAGTGAACTTTGTATTTTCCCTCTGGTACCACAGAGGTAGTGCAGGCATTCCTTTGAGGCCTTGCTCATGCTGTGCTCTGCCAGAAGGTCACGGAAGTCACCAGAGGGACCCTTGAGAGTGACATCAAGGTGACTGACAGCCATTAGTGGCATTTAAAGCATCCATGTGGTAAAGGTCAGTCTGTGCTCTGCACACCTGTGATGGCTAAGGGGAGATTTTGGCCACCTTACTTCCACCCCTCTTTCTCTGGACCCGTGCCCAAATCAGCTGAGTGGACACCTGGCAAGAGCTGACTGGATCAAGAGTGTTCACCTTACTCAAACTCTCCTTCTCAGAGAAGTAACAATCAGAATCACAGCCAAGAAATCTGAGCCAGATACTCAAAAGAAGACAGAGAAGCTGGCCATGGGGAGGGGGGAGGGGGGAGGGGGGACGGGGGAGCATGCAGGGGACTTCCACCACCCACCAGTTGGGAGAAGCAGACAAACACAAATCTCTAACAGGAGACTACTGAGGCAGTCAGGCAGGAAACAAAACAAAACACAAAACAACAACCAAAAAACAGAGATGAGAACTAGAGGCATCATGATTATTTCTTTTCCCTTCTTAGGACCCAGTGGGCTTCTGCCTTTGAAAACCCCTGGAACCTTTATAACCTCCACCTTCTGATCATGTTCCCCCAAGATGGATTCTGTTCCCAGTGACTTAAAAGCCTTAACTGCTACAGATGAGATCTCCCAGTGCCTACCCACTCCTCTCACGCCCCCACAGGTCTCAAACAGGTTATTCCTGGGAGGCTGGTGACAAAGACCCACGGGAACAAAGCCACCAGCCTGCTCGAAAACAGTCTATTCTGTGAGCATGAGGCAGAGCTGGCTTCTCACTAAGGCGTCTTTATAGGGCTTATCAAAACGAAATCAAAAAGAAAGCTTTTGTCCTAATGCATGCCAGGGTCCTGCTGCTGCTCTGGAAACATGTGGGTGCGTGCCACCCGCGAGAAAAACACACACTTCAAGAGGCACTGGAAACCCTGATGGTGTTCTGGGTCTCATGACCATCTGTTCTCATAGGAAAAGGCTCCAGACATGCTGTGTGGGGATATTTCACAAAGAGACATGGTGAAGTGCGGCACTGCCTACATGCTGGGGTCCAGTCCTGTTGGCAGCACCAGAACATGGGCGAGCATGAGGGGCAGACGTGGGAGTGGGACACATGCTGCCAAGCACCCTAGTGTGGCTATGTACAAGCTAGGGTGGGGAGGGGGTGCGGCAGAAGGCAGCTCCTCACGGCTTGAGTCCCAATCTTTGCCCCAGTTGGCTGCGGAACTGAATGAACTGCCCACTCACCCCAGCACTGTAAATGGTTACTCTCCTCATCCTTCCGATGACAAATCACCAAAAGGATGCGCTTTCATCTACCAGACCTCCCAGGCTCAGGTGCTGACTGTGGCCTACAAGGACAGCTATCTAAAACATCAAAAGCACTTTCCAGCTTCCTTCACGGACATGAGACTGCCTGCTCCCCAGAAAGATGGGTTTCAGTAACTCCTCCTTTGGCAGAATTTTTAAAGTTCTAGTCCTTAACTTCTACCTCCTGCCCCCATTTCTACCCACGGGGAAGGGCCACAGAAATAAAAGGGCATGGGAGGGGGGATGTTAGTTGCCTTTTCCTCTTTCCAGTGAAAGTCATTTCCCTCAATAGAGGGATCCCTCCATGTTTCCATGATTTGGAAGAGAAAGGTGGAGCTTATTCGTGAGCAACTTGGCCAGAACTGCCCACAGCCTACTACCCAGGAGGAGGAAGAGGAGGAGAGGGAGTGGGAAAAAAAGAGGGAGGAGGAGGGGGAACAGAGGAAAGGGTGGGAAGGTTGAGAAAGGGGAAGGAGGAGGGGGAGGGAAGGTTATTCGTATCAACAACTGTGGCTACACCAATCACTGCCACCCTTGTGGGACCCACAGCCACTGAGTCTCCGCCAACTCAGCTCTCCCCCTCCCCCGCCCCCATACAAACCAGGACAAGCTTGTAAGGAGAAGGAGTAAGACAGCCCCAAGGCACACGACTCTGATGTCTGAATTCTGGCTGGGGAGGGGGAGGTGTCTAAAATTTCCTTTGGCTTGTATTATCACTATGTATTAGCCTCCAGATGCTTATCTTTAAAATGAGGACGAGAAAAGTCTCTACTTCTAGAAGAGCTGGGGGACTAAATTACACGTGCAGCTTTCGGTCAGCCTGAGCCAGCGCTGTCACTGAGCCTTGGATTTGTAAGTGGCTCAAAAGTAAAAAGACGGAAGAAGGCCGTGCAGCTCTACTTCCCCCAAGGCCAGGAAGGGCCAAAGCAATGACTTAGGAAGTGGGATGTTTCCCCACCCTAGGCAAAGGGGCGAATTCCGAGTTCCCCGGAGGAAGCAGCAGCTCTGCAGACTCGGAATTACCTCGTCCTCATCTCCAGTGAAGGGAGGGATGGAAGTGGGGGCAGGGGCACAGAAATGGTACAAATCCTTCCTAATGGTCCCTGGCCAGAGCTCTGCCCATTCCTGAAAGTGTGACCTTGGGAAAGTGAGACCTTGGGAAAGTGACTTCGCCTCGCCAAGCCTCAGTTTCCTCATCTGTGCAGCGGGCATAAGGGCAGCATCTAAGGTGCAGAAATGCTTCTGACGGGTCAGATAACACCTAGCCCGCAGCCGACGCTCACAGCCGCCGATTCAGACCCGCCCGGGTTCCGCAAGCCCCAGGCTGCCCCTGAGCCACCGCCCAGGCCTCAGCCTCGGGCCATGCGGACCTCGCCGCCGCCACGCCCCGGACCCCAGGCCCCGGGCCCCCAGGCCTCGACGGCCAGCCGCACCCGGGCTGCGGACTGCGGCCCGGGCCCCCTCCCCGCTGGGCCCCCGACTCACCGGTGTAGTGCACCACGCAGGTCTGGCCGCGCTTGGGGAAGGTGCGCCCTGAGGAGACAGAGACGGGCATGCTGAGCCGATGCGCGCGGCGGCAGAGGTACTCCGAGCCGCCGCGCGCCACTACTCACCGTCTCCTGGGGAGATGGTTTCCACCTGCACTCCCATGGCGGCGGCGGACGCTGAGCGGGCGGGCGGCGCGACGGGCGGCGTGGACCAACAGCGACCTGGCGGCGGTTCCACGGCTCTGCCTAGTACCTCGGCGCGTCGCCTGCGCACGCGCACGCCCCCTCACGCCCAGCCCTGCGTGCGCGCCCCACACGGCGCGCGACGTCCCGGAAACCCAGGCCTCCGGAAGAGGGACCGGAAGCCCAGAAGCCCCGAGACCTCCGGAAGCCCGGAGGCCTCCGGATACAGCTGTGTTTGCCGGGTGACTTGCTTCGTTCTCCTGCCCTTCCTCTGTGCTTCCAGCCGGTTAAGCATCTCCCTGCCCAAAGAATGGGAGTAATAATAGGGGGTCCGCCAGTCACTGACTGGGTGACTGTCATCAGGTTTCCACTTAGAAGCACACAGTTACTCATCCTGGGAAGAGCATGGTTCTGAGAAGACAGCGCACAGGTGGTGGTAGTATGTTAGTATTTTATAAGTGGCTCAAGGTTGTAAGTTCTGCTTTTCTTCACTGGAGGAGGAGTTGTCCAAATTCATTCACTCACCCATAGCTTACATGCATACATTCTTATTGAGCATGTGAAAGTTGATAATACGAATTGGGTCACTCTTCTTATGCCCAACGGAATCAGAATCCAGGGGCCAGGGGAAAAGCACTGGAGGCACGCAGCGCCTGCTCCAAGAACCAATATTTCCACTAACTGCTGCGGAAATGGCCTGCTGTCCCCCTGAGACCAGATTCAGCTAGTAACTGCTGAAACAACCCGCCATAACCTAATACTAGTTTTACTTACCACTGTCAGTCACCAATCAGAGCTTGCCAGCTCCCTGAAACTTTACTAGTGCCAATGCATTTCCCTTTCTAATAAAACGCCCAGCC
This sequence comes from Homo sapiens, assembly GCF_000001405.40. NCBI lineage: Eukaryota > Metazoa > Chordata > Mammalia > Primates > Hominidae > Homo > Homo sapiens. The sequence continues at coordinate 1,393,879 of NC_000020.11, forward strand.
TTCTCTTTGTTTTTCGGACATACCAAAGACCACCAGATCTGTGTGTATGCTCCGAGTTGCGATTCTCGCTTCCCCAAATAAAACATTACATTTAGAGATTCATCTCCATATTTTATTTTGACTTTGACAAGCACCTTCTGTATGTCATGTACTGTGCTAGGTGCTGAGGATACAGCGGTGAAGGAGTCAGACTTAGTCCCTGACCTCACAGAATCTACGTATGATGTGGGAGAGATAATCAAATAACCTGTTTAAGTAAAAAAAGATACGGAATAAATGTAAAGTTTCAAATCTGTAATATTATGAGACAGTAATACATGCTGTGAGGGGCGTGTTAATATAACAGAGATGCCTCACTTAGTCTGGAATGTGGTCAGATATTTCCCTGAGTTAGCCAGGTTTAGCCAGGTTTAGCCAAGGTTAGAAGGCCAATTGTGTGTATGTGTTGGGGTAAGGGGAGGCAGAAGGAGCAGTACCTGCAGAGGCACTGTAACGCAAGAGAACACTGTGACATGGTCTAGGACATAAGGAGGCACATGTGACTAATCTTTCTCTGATCTGTGTGTGTGTGTGCTTCTGCATTAGTCGATTCTCACACTGCTATAAAGAATACCTGAGGCTGGGCACGGTGGCTCATGCCTGTAATCCCAGCACTTTGGGAAGCTGAGGCGGGCAGATCACTTGAGGCCAGGCGTTCAAGACCAGCCTGGCCAACATGGTGAAACCCAGTTTCTACTAAAAATACAAAAAAATTAGCCAGGCATGGTGGCACAGGCTTGTAATCCCAGCCACTTGAGAGGCTGAGGCATAAGAATTGCTTAAACCAGGAGGCGGAGGTTGTAGTGAGCCAAGATTGCACCTCTGCATTCCAGCCTGGGTGACAGAGTGAGAACCAGTCTCAAAAAAAAAAAAAAAAAAAAAAAATTCCTGAGACTGGGTAATTTATGGAGGAAAGAGGTTTAATTGACTCACAGTTCTGCATGGCTGGGAATCCTCAGGAAACTTACAATCATGGCAGAAGGGGAAGCAGGCATATCTTACACAGCAGCAGGCATGAGAGAGAGTATGTGAAGAGGAACTGTCAAACACCTATAAAACCATCATTTCTCATGAGAATGCACTCACTACCATGAGAACAGCATGGGGGAAACCACCCCCACCATCCAATCACCTCCCACCGGGTCCCTCCCTTGACCTCAGGATTATAGGGATTACAATTCAAGATAAGATTTGGGTGGGGACACAGAACTAAACCATACCAGCTCCTGTAGTGTTTTAAACATGACCTCACAGTTTTTTGACACCCCAACCCTCATCTATGTCCCCTTTCCTAAAATCTCAGTGAGCTCGTGACTGCTTTGGAAATTTTAATGTAGTAAGAATACAGGCTGTAACAGAACCAAATTAACTGTGGCTGAAAAGAGGCTGAAGTTGCTGTCTCTCTCATGTAACAGTTCAGAGGCAGGTGGTTCAGTGCAGGTAGGACTTCACAGGCTGCCCAGGGACTCATCCTTCTTCTACTTGTGGCTCCCCATCCTTAGAATCCTACCCTCATATGCATGGTCCAAGTTGGCTCTCCAACATATTTTCATCTCAGCTAGTGGGAAGGGGGAAAGGAGGAATGGGGGGTACATTCCCTTTTCCTTTAAGGGTACGACTTAGAATTGCACACATCTCTTCCCGTTATACTTCACATTGACTATAACTTAGTTATATGGTCAAATTTAGCTGCATGGGAGGCTAGGGAATAAAGTCTTCATTCTGGGTGTACACACACCCAACTAAAATCAGAGGTTCTGTGCTCATAGAATGGAAGAATGGAGATCGAAAGATGAAATTAAAAAGAGGGCCCCAGCAGTCGCCAGGACACTGCTTCACACCACCTAGAGAAAATCAGACTGCAGCGAGAATAAATGATGGAGAATGAGAGCAACCAGGGGCGAGAGAGTTCCTGGATTCCGTTTTCCCTGAAGCCTAGCAGAATAAGGCTTGCCTCACATTCATCCTGTGGTCTCTCTCATGGCTCTGAATTGGGTATCGGTTCAAAACATAGACCTGCCTTTGAGACAGTGGCCATCTCAATCCATGGATATAAGCTTTGTTTATATAGATGGGGGTTCCCCAAGAACCTCACATTTGCACCACTTCTTCCTCAGTGCTTTGGGAAAACACAGGAAAGCATGTAGCTATCAGTTCTGCCACCAGACCTAAGATGAATTGGACCTGGGGACAAGGGGCACTTATTAAGCATTTATCTGATTTTTTGAAGTAACTGGGAGAGTTCCTTTCTAAATTAATTTAGATTCTGTTTATATATAGCCTAGTTATTAACAACTCTGTTAAGTAGTTAAGTTCTTTGGGATCACCCTTAGCAAACCAGAACAAAAAACAGAAAGAGTGAGTGACTCTAAGAGATGGAACTGGGAGAAAGAGCAGGAGATTCTGACTTTCATTTAATATCATTCTGAACTGATTAAATTTATTTTCACTCTCTTTGTGTAACAGGAGACAGGGAATCATTTCAGTCTGAAGTCATAAGCATCCCTCATGACAAGGGGAAGTGACTCCCTCCCTGAAGTTCTAAAACCTGAAAAATGGGGGTTGGATTTCCTTTGGTTTATCCTGTTTGTGGTTTACTCAGCTTCCTGAGTCTATAGGTGTATGCCTTTCACCACATTTGGGAAGTTTTCAGCCATTATTTCTTCAGATATTTTCTTCTGCTCCATTCTGTTTCTCCTGTTCTTCTCAGATCCTGGTAACACGAACATTAGATATTTTGGAATTGTCTCACAGGTGCCTGAAGTTCTGTTCAGCTCCCCCCAGTCCTTTTTCTCTGTTGTTCAGATTGGATAATTTCTATTTTTCTATCTTTGAGATCACTGGCATGTTTCCCTGCAATCTCCATTCTGCTATTGTACCCATCTGTTGGGAGCTGAAAAGGCCAAAGGGATTGTGACCAACTCAGCATTCCACTGAAGGATATATGATCAAACAGCAAACTGTTTATCATGAATGCAGGATGTGGGCAAACTCACAACTGCGCCTGCCGCCAGGAGGTTTGCTGAGGGCCCTGGCGCCATGCTCATTGAGATTATCTACTGGGACATCTAGATCCTATTGTTCAAAGACTGCAGTCTTGCAAGCCTGCTGTAAATCAAACTGCTAACCGACAATCACCCCCCACTTCTTGCTATCTCTTTTGCCTAATAAATGTGAAGGGCTCTAAAGCTCAGGCCCCCTGTTTACCAGAAGCAAGGAGCCCCCTGACCCCTTCTTTCAAATATGCTCTCTTGTCTTTGTCTTTTATTCCCATGTTTGCCCCCTTTGTTCAGTCCCCCAAGGTCTGTGCAGGTGACAAGTGGCGACCCAGAACAGGGACTCCAAGGATGTCGGACACGTGGCATCTGAACACAGGGACTTTGAAGACGTGAATGAAGAAGCTCTGCTGGAGCAGAGGAATTGAAATTGACAAGATGAACGGGGACCCCAGGATGAGTCTGCTGGCAGCAGATAGAAGGTCAGTGCCCTAAAGAGGTACTGGGAACGATATAAGGTCAGTGCTCTAAAGAAGTACTTGGAATGGGAAGTTTTCTGAATCAGGGTAACATGAAGCAGAATTTGTCTATTGAAGAAAAACATCATGTGCAGTTGCTTAAAGTTCTGTTGAGACAGTCTGGAGCTCAGGTTAATTCGCAGGCACTAACTAACCTCCTGCAGAAGCCACAAAAGGTTATTACGCATAACCCATGGTTTCCACAGGCAGGCACTCTTGATGTGGAAAATTGGGATAGACCAGGAGAAGGATTAAAACAGGCTCATCAAAAAGGTCCTAAAGTTGATTCTTCTGTTTTCTCCACTTGGAGTCTAGTTCGTACTGTTCTTCTGCTATCTCCTTATTATTCTGCTGGACAGCAGGCTGAGTCTAAAAAATCTGAAAGAATCTGTTGTCCCACCCACAGCTCCAATTGAAAATAAAAAATGGAGAGGGAGGATAAAAATTGGCCTACACCGCCCCCTCCAGTTGCAGAAACATCTGTACCGCCTCCTTTGGTAGCAGAAATAGTGACCCCAATACAAAGAATTTTATGCTCTGCTGCCATAGCTAAGGGGAGCCCTTAGGACCTTGTACTTTTCCTATTTCTGTAAGTGTAACGAGTGTAGCTAATAATGGGGTACAGAGCCCATTCACTTTAGGATTGGTAGAATCTGCATTTGGTGCTATGTGTCTTCTACCCTTTGATGTAAAACACTTGGCTCAAACTTGCTTGTCTGCTAGTGCATATCTGACGTGGTATTTAAATTGGCAAGAACTGTGTGCAGACCAGGCTAGACAGAACCATATTGCTGGACATGGAGACATTACAGAGGATATGCTATTGGGTAATGGCCCTTATTCAGACCTGGAACGTCAAATGGCACTCCCAGACGCTGCTTATCAGCAGTGTGCACAGGCTGCTAAACACACCTGGGCCACAATTCCTGAAGAGGGAGTCCCAGTACTGTCCTTTTTACATATCATGCAAGGGTCACAGGAACCCTACGCGCAGTTTCTTGCAAGATTACAAGAGGCAGTGAAGCATCAAATTCCTCTTGCCACTGCCACGGAAATGCTAACCTTAACTTTAGCTTTTGAGAATGCAAACGCAGATTGTAAACGTGCACTGGCACCTGTGAGGTGTACAAAAAACTTTTCTCAGAGCTTGTCAGGATGTAGGAACTGAGCTTCATGGGTCTTCAATGTTAGCGCAAGCAATGGCTAATCTAGCAGTTGACAAATCTAAAAGGAGCCAAGGATTAAGCCCTAAAGTAGGAAAATGTTATAATTGTGGAAAAACTGGACATTTTAAAAAGGAATGCTGCCAGATCTCAGGACAGAAAGGATCTTATAATGCAGTACCCCTCCCTCCATAGTGGAAAACATGCCAGGACTCTCCTCGCTGTAACAAAGGAAATCACTGGGGTAATCAGTGCCGCTCAAGATTTCATCAGAATGGCATCCCCCACTGTCGGGAAACGAGAAGGGGGCCTGGACCTGGGTCCCTCAAACAATGAGGGCATTCCCAGTTCAGACCACAACCCCATTTCAGGGGCGGGTCCCAGGAGAAACATTGATTCCCTCATTCCAGGAACACCCAGAAGTGCAGGATTAGATCTCCCAGTCAGAGAACAGGTAATGTTAGTTGGTGGAGACAAACCTATCAAAATTCCCACTGGCATCTGGGGACCTTTACCAGCAGGATACAGGGGACTAATTTTAGGCAAAAGCCACCTTAACTTGCAAAGCATTACTGTAGTCCCAGGAGTTGTTGACTCTGATTATGAAGGAGAAATTCAAGTAGTTTTAATGTCACAAGATCTTTGGGTTTTTGAACTGGGAGAATATATAGCACAATTATTGCTTATTCCCTGCAAATTATACCCTTCTCCACTAAAGGAGAAACAAGGAAATAAAGGGTTTGGGAGCACAACTACACGAGAAATCTATTTATCACAATCTATAGCCTCTAGTAGGCCCACCTGTGTAGTACAAATTAAAGGAAAGAAATTTTATGGGCTTATGGACACAAGAGCTGATGTGTCAGTAATATCCAGTAAGGACTGGCCCCCAGCATGGCCTCTCAGAATAACTGCCACATCCCTAGTGGGAGTAGGAGCAGCTAAAAGTGTTCAACAGAGTGCTGAGATTTTTATCTTGTCTTGGTCTGGATGGACAATCATGTACTTTTCAGCCTTATGTTGAAAATATAGCTATCAATTTATGGCTATAAATTGATAGCCATATCAGTTTATCGAGATTTACAGCATGGGATATGAGACTTACATATGAAAACTTTGATAACCCAGGATTTAAAATGTTGAAGGACATGGGATATCAGAGTGGGAAAGGTTTAGGGAAATCCCTACAAGGAAACCCTAACCCGATATCAGTAACTGGAAAGGCAGGTTAAACCCCGCAGGGAGATTCTTCTTTAGATTCCCCGCGGCAATTAACCAGAGGCAGAAGTTGAGTTCGGCAATGGCATGCCTCCCAGCTACAGCTACAGAAACCTTTGATTTCATTATCCCTCAGACAAAATTTTGCAGTTTTATAAAGTCCATTCTTTCATTCTTCCTGTGATTACTCATCACAAGCTTATTCCAGGTGGCCAGACTTATTTTACTGATGGCTCTTCCAAAGGTCATGCAGCTATTTATGGACCTAAACATACTCAAACAATAATGACCTCTGGGGTTTCAGCTCAACACTCAGAGTTGATTGCAGTCATTCAGGTTTTACAGCTCACAGCTGCAGATCCTATCAACATTGTCTGTGATTCAGCCTATGTTGTGAATGTAACCAGTCGCATAGAAACTGCTACAATTAAAAGTACTCTAGACCCCGAACTGCTTAATTTGTTTCACTTATTCTCATATGCTGCCTGCTACATGCCAAACAGGTGAGACAGCTGGTCATGTACGGCCACATTGTCTGTCATCATTTGCTCATATGGGGATTCCTAAACAATTAAAAACTGACAATGGACCCGCTTATACTAGTCATGCTTTTCAAAATTTCTTACAGCTTTGGGCTATAACCCATAAAACAGGAATTCCTTACATCCCTTGAGGACAAGGCATTATAGAGCGGGTACATCAAACATTACAATGTATGTTGAATAAACAAAAAGGGGGATTAGGAGACCAGTTACCACCTCAAACAAAATTACATTTAGCTTTATTTACTTTAAATTTTTTGATTCCTGGTATGGATGGTAAGACTCCAGCAGAAAGACATTGGCAAGTGTTAGAGGAAAAGAGGAAAGTGTATCCAAAAGTGTTATGGAAATCCCCAGAAGAAGGACAATGGAAAGGTCTGGTGGCTTTACTGACATGGGGAAGAGGGTATGCTTGTGTTTTTACAGGAGATGGACAAACTGTGTGGTTGCCCTCAAGGTGTGTGTGACCATGGAACAGGAGACTGGAGGAACCCAGGGTGGCCAGCCATGGGCCTGGCCCCTCCAGTATAGGCCATGAGCCAGCTGAGCTTGAGTGCGAAGATGCGGAGAAGGCCGACCGGGGTCACGACACAGTCTTAATGTTACATTTGTAAAGAATATCACCACTCAATTTATGGTTTGTGGGTTTTTTTTTTTTTGGTTTTTTGTTTTGTTTTGTTTTGTTTTTTTTGAGGTGGAGCCTTTCTCTGTCACCCAGGCTGCAGTGCAGTGGTGCAATCTTGGCTCACCGCAAACTCTGCCTCCCGGGTTGACACCATTCTCCTGCCTCAGCCTCCCGAGTAGCTGGGACTACAGGCACCTGCCACCATGCCTGGCTAATTCTTTGTATTTTCAGTAGGGATGGGGTTTCACCATGTTGGCCAGGATGGTCTCAATCTCCTGACCTCATGATCTGCCCGCCTCGGCCTCCCAAAGTGCTTGGATTACAGGTGTGAGCCACTGCGCCCAGCACGGTTTGTGTTTTTAATCCTTATGTCTTTCTGGCAGCTAAAAAGCACCAGCTCCAGGTAAACAACACCCAATTGACCTGTAAATCTTGTCAGTTATATCACTGCATTAATCACAGCACATTGCAAACACAGAATACCTCTACTTTGATCATTCTGGGTCGCATCCCTGGACTGTGGATTCCTGTTCATCCATCCAAGCCTTGGGCTGCCACCCCTGCTTTACGCTTTGTGAAACATCTTCTAACTCAGCTTACTCACTGTGTCCGTAGAGCCTTAGGCATGATCATTTTTACTATTGTTTCCTTAGTCACACTGATAACTTCTGTTGTGATGTCCTCTGTAGCTTTGCATAATTCTGCTCAAATGGCTCAGTACACAGAGAACTGGACACAGCCAACCAAGTACAGCCAACCAAGTGTGGCTACTTCAGAATAAAATTAACACTGAGTTACAAACTGAAGTGACAGTGTTGAAATCCCCATGGTTAGGGGAACAAGTGCAAAGGTTACAATTGCAACAGCAATTGTGCTGTCATTTTAATCACACTCATATTTGTGTAGCCAACTTAGATTATAACCAAAGTGAGTATCCGTGGGACCTTGTGAAAGCTCATTTGCAGGGAGCTTTCACATCCAACATCACCTTTGATATTGGTGAATTATAAAACAAAATTCTTGATTTACATAGGCAAACTCAAGAGTTTCAGCCTTCTTTAGAAGACTGGACCGAATTCCAGCAAGGCCTGGAGAGCCTCAACCCTTGGACCTATCTAAGGCCCCACATTAACATCTTATATGTAGTTCTTGGAATAATGTTGTTTTGTCTCTGTCTTCTGTTCATCGTCTGTGAAATCCGTTGGACTGCCAATTGGAAAATGAGAGCTGCCCAGCCTGGCCTTACGTTCTTTCAATTAATTCATAAACAGAATGGGGGAATGTTGGGAGCTGAAAAGGCCAAAGGGATCATGACCAACTCAGCATTCCACTGGAGGCTATGTGATCAAACAGCAAACTGTTTATCATGAATGCAGGATGTGGGCAAACCCACGACTGCGCCTGCTGCCAGGAGGTTTGCCAAGAGCAATCACTCCCTGGCGCCATGCTCATTGAGGTTGTCTACTGGGACATCCAGAGCCTATCGTTTGAAGAATGCAGTCTTGCAAGCCTGCTGTAAATCAAACTGCTGACCAACAATCACCATCACCTCTTCTCACTATCTCTTTTGCCTAATAAATGCGAAGGGCTCTAAAGCTCAGGGCCCTTGTTCACTAGAAGCAAGGAGCCCCCTGACCCCTTCTTTCAAATATGCTCTCTTGTCTTCGTCTTTTATTCCCATGTTTGCCCCCTTTGTTCAGCTCCCCAAGGTCCATGCAGGTTACAAGCCCATCCGGGAATTTGTTCTTGTTGTTCTCATTTTATTTTTTAGTTCTAACATTTCCACTTTATTCTTCCTTATATGTTCTATTTTATTTGCTTCAACTTTCCATCTTGGCTGAGTGTGGTGGTTCACACCTGTAATCCCTGCACTTTGGGAGGATGAGGCAGGCAGATTGCTTGAGACCAAGAGTTTGAGCAACAGCAAAGGTGTGTCTCTAAGCTAAAACACCTACAGCCTCAAAAGCAGAATGTGCATTCTGAAAGGGCCTCTGCAAATCTGAAGTTTGGAAACATAGCTGAGATGGATGGGGTCTGAGGTCCCCAAGGTGGAACTGCCAAAACTCCCAACCACCTTCTTCTCCCTTTGAGCTCCTATGGCTCTCTTCTTTTACTCAATGGAGAAAACCTTCTGGATTTGAAGTATCAAATGTATAAATGTCTGACAGTATCTTGACTGTATATTTTATACCTTAAAGGGTTTAAGAATTCTGGTTAAGGGACAGTCTCTAATGGTGAAATTTCAGACATTCATCAGTAGATGGAGTTGATACATTTGAGCCTTATCACAGTCTTAGGAGGCTCCAGGAATCAGAGACATGGTCTCCACTTAAATGCCCATATCTTCTCCTCAAAGAAGCTTCCAATGGGCTGCCCAGGTTCTGCTTGAATATCTCCACTGACAGGGAAGCCACTACCTCCAGGAGTAGAAGCTTTCACCTTTGGATAGTCTGTGTATTGAGTGAAAAGGCCTGCGGGAATGGGGATTAGACCAGCTCTTGTGCTTGTGGGTGGAAGTGAGTACATGAGGCCAACTCTGAAGGTCCTAAATTTGATGGGCAGCAGGAGGGGGAGGGGAGATGCCTTGCTGTGTCAGTATCATCAGGGTGTGGCTGGGACTGTCTAGTACTGCACAAAACATAAGGCTTGGGTGAAACTGTAGCCAAAACTCTTATAAATTCTATGGTGGACATTTGGTGACATTTGTCTTTTCCGGTAATAGCACTTTGGTTTTCATTTGGGGAAGCACTCCTTCTCCACTCTTGGCCATGATGTTCAAGTGGAACTAATGCAACACTCAGCTCCAGGAGTGGTCATGTGACTCAAGCCCTTAAATACAGTGACTGATTTAGGAATGGACATGTCTTAGTCCATTCTGGCTGCTGTAACAAAATACCATACCTTGGGTGATTCATAAACAACAGAAATTTACTTCTCAGAGTTCTGGAGGCTGGGAAGTCCAAGATCAAGGCAGATTTCATGTCTGGTGAGAGCAAGCTTTCTGGCTCATAGATGGTGCCTTCTTGCTGCATCCCCACATATGAAAGGAGTGAGAGGTCTCTCTTGGGCTTCTTTTTATAAAAGAACTAATCCTGCTGGGCGCAGTGGCTCACGCCTGTAATCCCAGCACTTTGGGAGGCTGAGGTGGGCAGATCACCTGAGGTTGGGAATTCAAGACCAGCCTGACCAACATGGAGAAACTCAGTCTACTAAAAATACAAAATTAGCCGAGGTGGTGGCGCATGCCCGTGATCCCAGCTACTTGGGAGGCTGAGGCAGGAGAATCGCTTGAACCCACGAGGCGGAGGTTATGGAGAGCCAAGATCGCACCATTGCACTCCAGCCTGGGCAACAAGGGCGAAACTCCGTCTCAAAAAAAAAAAAGAGCTCATCCTATTCATCAGGACTCTACCCTCATGACCTAATTACCTCCCAAAGTCTCTATCTCTTAATACCATCACCTTGTGGGTTAGAAATTTCAACATATGAATTTGGGGAGTGGGACACAAACATTCCAACTATAACTGGCTCCACAGTACAGAGCAAACAGCAGAGCTACTGGGGCCAGACAGAGTGCCACTATGGTTGGGTTCTGCTGAGGGTTCTCTTCCTGGCTTACAGACAGCTGTCTTCTTGCTGTATCCTCACATGTGAGAGATAAAGAATGGGAAGAGCTAGAGAAAAACGAGAGGGAGAGTGCACGCTCTTTGCTGTCTCTTTTCTCTAATCCCATCATGAGGGCCCTACCCTCATGATTTCTTTTTTTTTTTTTTTTTTTTGAGATGGAGTTTCATTCTTGTTGCCCAGGCTAGAGTGCAATGGTGCGATCTTGGCTCACTGCAACCTCCGCCTCCCAGTTTCAAGCGATTCTCCCACCTCAGCCTCTGAGTAGCTGGGACCACAGGCATGTGCCACCATGCCCGGCTAATTTTGTATTCCCAGTAGAGACGGGGTTTCTCCATGTTGGTCAGGCTGGTCTGGAGCTCCTGACCTCGGGTGATCCTCCCATCTCCGCCTCCCAAAGTGCTGGGATCACAGGAGTGAGCCACCGTGCCCATTCATGATTTCTAAACCTCATTACCTCCCTGTTGTGCCAAACCCTTACTGACTCCAATGGGGATGGCATCAGGTTCAAGAGGCCAAAGAAGAGACCTAGAGCCAGCAAATGAGACATGAGGTTTTATTTGGGGCTTACATACAGGAGAGAGAGTCCAGTGGTGGTGGGCTGGATAGGAGAACTGCGGTACATACAGTCCAGTGGTGGCAGGCTGGATGGGATAACCACATGGCTCAGTGGTGGTGGCCTGGGCAGAAGAACCACAACTGCTTGTAAAAGACATGCAGTTTATATAGCATTTTCACTTAGCACCCTCCCCCAACAGTCTCCACCTAGCAACTTCACCTGACCTAAAACAAAAGGTCTCGATCCCCTGTATGGCCCGCATTCCACAGGATGGGCCATAGGTTCCTCATAGACTCAGATGTTCCTCATACACAAGGAAGGAATCTCCAAGTTGGCTACTCCCAGATTTCCTAGCTTGGAACCCACATTAAGGTGCGTCTGCCATACAGAGTCATTCTCAGGGTATACTTAATTTATTGCTATTAGGTGCATTTATCATGCACTCCCAAAGGCCCTATCTCCAAATACCAGTACCTTGGAGGTTAGGGTTTTAGCATATGAATTTAGGGGCAACATAGTTCAGTTCATAGCAAAAAGTTAATCCCCAATTCTTCTGGGTGTAGTTACTAATTAAAAGAGAACCCTGATTATAGTAGAGCCAGCAGTGTCAGAATCTAGATGACCCTTAAGCTTTCCACTTTATGGGCCAATAAATTCTTTTTGCTCGTCTAAATTGAATTTTCTGCCACTTGCAACTAAAAGATTCTTGAGTAATATGATCCACAAACTCGCAGATCACTTGATCTCCAAAGGCTGTACTTGCTGGGTAATCAGTTGCTTTGGGTGTGTGTGTAATGACTGCAGGAGGTTCTTACACTTAAGCCTTCATCAGAATCACCTGCAGAACTTGGTAGAGCCCAGATTGCTGTGCTTCAACCCCAGTTCCTCATTCTGTAGGTCTAAGGTGCAACTTGAGAATTTCCATTTCTAACAAGTTCTGAAATGATGCTGATGCTGTTAGTCTGGGAATCCCACTTTGAAAAATGGTGAAATGGAAGCCCTTGCCTCCTGAAATGAGGACACCTGGAATCTTTGTGGCCCAAGATTGAGACAAGGGGTAGGATGAAACTTTTCTTTAGTGGGAAAGAACCATTTTGGTATGTCCTGGGAGTCCTCAGGAAGTTCAGTCCTTACTCTTAGCTCCCAAAGGGGAGGTATTACAGTTCCAGAAGAGATTTTCTTAGAGATCCTTTAAAAATGTCTGCTGTGCCTCCCTACAGGGCTTTTCTATTGCACTCAGAAAAAATTCAGGTGCCTTACAAGGCATTTCATGATCTGGCTTTGCCGGGGAAAGTGGAAGGGATCAGAATCCTTCATTCCCTTGACTCTTCTCTCATGTTCTATGTCAGTAGCTACAGGGCTTATACATGCTGGAATTTCCTGGGCCACTCTGACAGCAAGGAGCATTTTTCAGGCTATGAGATGTAGCAAAATTAATCTTCAAAATAACAAAAAACACACCAGCTCTTCTCCTCAGCTCTCTAAATGTCTAGGAAATTCTTATTCTGTGTTGGTCTAAGCTAAACTATATCTCTCAGATGCTTTGGAGCCCAAAAATAGTTCTTAGACTCCCAAGTATGTACTCAGATATTTGGATTGGGAATTGTGATCAGTAGATCATAGTGGCTACAAATAATGACCCATGGCTTTAGGAGGATTCACCAAGCAGTGTGTACCAAGGGCCAAGACGGGTCTTAATGGCTCCAGGAGATCAGGAAAGTGGCTCTTCACCTTGTAGCAAGGCAACAGGAAGCTAACTCAACCATAAGAAATGCAGTGATATGTGTTTTGCCTAGAGTGGCTTATGTAATCCTTATCCCAACATCACTATTATTACCCCTCTTTTACGGAAGGGAAAGCTGAGGCTTAGTGACATAGAATAACTTGCCTATGGCTACATGTGGTAGCTTGAAAAATGGCCTCTCAAAGGTACCAGGTTCTAATCTCTTACCTTGCATGGAAACGGGGCCTCTGCAGATGTGATTAAGTCAAGGATCTTGAGATGGGAAGGCTGTCATGGATTAGCAGGGTGGGCCTTAAATGCAGTTGCATGTATATAAGAGGAAAGTAGAGGAAGATTTGACCCCACACACACAGAAAAGAAGGTACTGTGACTACAGAGATGAGAGATTTGAAGCTGCCGACCTTGAAGATTGAAGTGCTGTGACCATAAGCCAAGGAATGATAGCAGCCACTAGAAGCTGGAAGAGCCAAGAACAGACTGTCCCCTAGGACCCCCAGAGGGAGCATAGCCCTGGCAACGCCTTGGTTTTGCCCCAGTGATACTGATTTCAGACTTCTGGCCTTCAGAATTGTGAAAGAGTAAATTGTGGAAGAATCCATTTCTTTTGTTTTAAGCCACCTTATCTGTAGTAATTTTGTACAACAGCCTCCGGAAACTAAAACACATACGCCCAGAAATGTGCCCAAGTCTGTCTGGCCCCAGTAGCTCTGCTGTTTGCTCTGTACTGTGGAGCCATGCAGGAGGAAACAAATGCTACCCCCAATGTTCTGCACTAATAGAGATGGAGTGGGCATGGGAACCCACATAGGACCATTATTTGGCTTGTGAACATTGTGTACTTTTTTTTTAATTATGAAGATTTATTTTGCTACATGTGGAGCCTGAAAAATGCCCCTTGGTTCAGGCTTCTGAGTAACCAAGTGTTGACCTAGTGGGCCCATAGTGGCTGGATACTGAGGAGGGGTGATGGGCAGGGACAACTTAGGATGAGGGGTGTGCTACAGATGACCCCCAGATGGGACAATCATGTTGATGTGAAAGTGATATTGTCAGATAGGCTAACAGATTCTAAGTAGTATCAGAAGCTGCCAGGTTAGCTTGCCACTCTGTCATCGATTTAGCTGGTAGGAACACATCGAGCCCATATAGATTAAGATGACTTATTACTTACACAGACAACAATGGTATTGCTCCCCATGGCCCTTGATCACAGGATGACACTGGAACAGAAGGGGCCAAGTGACATGCAACAGAGGTGATGGGTCCCTGATGCTGAGGAGCCAATTATATGCTGCAGCAAAGCAGCTTTACAGCCTGCAGCTGTACCCTGAGGGGAGGAGGGGAAGTGGACAGGCCCGCTTCATCAGAACCAGCAAGGCAGATGAGAAATGGCCATGACAGTCTTCCTGTAGATAGAGAGGTGGGTGAGAGATGGCCTTGTGGCAGCTCCTGGCAAGCTCACCTGACTTCTCATGATCTGGGTGACCATGGGGTATCCCTCCAAGACTTAGGTCAGCAGTGGTTAAGCCTTGCCCTGTAGCCTAGGTAAAAATGTGCAAGGTTGTCAGGGCACCAGCATGGAGGAGTTCCCCTACAAATATGAGCCCTTCAGAGTGAAAAGGCAAGAACTTAGATTTTGCCACTTCTTTGAGTCTTCATTTTTGTATGAAGACTCGTGTGTGTGTGTGTGTGTGTGTGTGTGTGTGTGTGTATAACAGGGTCTTGCTCTGTTGCCAGGTTGGAGTGCAGTGGTGCAATCACAGCTTACTGCAGCCTCAACCTCCCACGCTCAGGTAATCCTCCCACCTCAGCCTCCCAAGTAGCTGGGACTACAGGCGCACACCACCATGCCTGGTGAATTTTTTAATTTTTTTGTAGAGATATCGTCTCACTATGTTGCCTGGGCTGGTCTCAAATTTTCAGGCTCAAGCTATCCTTTCGCCTCAGCCTCCTGAAGTGCTGGGATTACAGCAGTGAGCTACTACACCTGGTCCCATTTTAACCATTTTTAAGTGTAGGTTCAGTGGCATAAAGTACATTCAACATTGTTGTGCAACCATCATCACCATCCATCTCCAGAACTTTTCCCCTTCCCCAGTTGAAACTCTGTACCTTTTAAACAATGACTCCCTGTGCCCTTCCCTTAGCTCCTGGCAACCATCATTCCACTCACTTTCTGTTGCTGAGTACGTTTTTTACTGCAAGCTCAGTACTAACCCCTGCCTCCTTGATATTGCTCTGCTTTGTATATGAGTTGAATCCTTGAAGGTTGAATATGCACATGACACAGTTCATCTACATGCCTTGGTCTCAGCATGTTCTCTTTGACTAGAAGAGTCTTTAACAGCACAGCCATGCCTTCTGTTTCTCTGAATCCCACATTCCGAATGTCCTGCCATGCTGTTGGTATAGACAAGATGTCTGTTCATTGTGAGTTCTTGGTACCTGATGGTGAAGTTGGGTAGGGCACAGACTTTGCTGAATTCCCATGAGGTATCTGAGTCCAAGGCTTTAGAGCAGGTCATACCACAGGGAAGGGACTTTCCCAAGCAAATTGCTGGTTTTCCACCAAATCCATGAGGCCGAGCATGTGGTCAGTTCCCCTGAAACTTTCATCTTGATTGCATTCTAGATGACATGCCCAGCTTGCTTACATTCTCCAGCCATGTCAGGTATGGCCATGTGACTAGGTTTTGACAATGGAACTGGAGCGGAAGTGTCCTGGGACTCAAGCTGAAGACACTGGACCAGTGTCTTCCACTACTTCCTCCTCCTTCTAGCTGGAACTTTGACACAACATCCTAAGTTGGGGATCACAACAATGTGCTAGAGGATTGCAGGGCCACCCTCCTCCCAACCTGGGACTCTGGATGACTTCATGGAACAAGCCTGCCTACTTCCCTGGACTGTTATGTGAGAGGAAGATAATGCTCTGTCTTGTATAAGCCATTTCATTTCGGGGCTAGCCTTTGCCCTAACTATTACAACCACAGAGAAGGCTGAGATAGAACCTGGACCTCCTGACTCCCAGGCCATCCCTACACCATAGTACAAGGGGTATTAGATTGGAGGAGAAAGAGAAGTGAGTGTGGCAAAGCTATCTTCAGTGGCAGCAGGAGAAATGCCTCTGCTCTTGCCTGAAGGTACTTTCTGTCTGGGCCTCAGCCTTAACATCTCACTCCTGGTTGTTTGCAGTGGCTTCCTACTTGGTTTTCCTATTTCCAGCCTTTCTTATGCTGGCTAACCCTCCTTACCATAATCAGAACAGTCTTTCCAATACCTATGTGGTCTCTGGAACAGACATTTCATCCAGTAGCCATTCCTTTCCATTGTTTCCCTTCTTGGAAGAGCCTATCTTCCAAGACAGATGGTGAAATATTAGTAATTTGTTCTCCAGTGTCCCTTGCAGCAAGGATTGGCCATGTAGCCAATGGGACACATTGACATTGTTGTATATGGTAATTTTTATGTTTAATTTTTTAGGTATTTCCAAAGTGGCTCTACCATTTTACATTCCCACTAGTGATGAATGAGGGTTCCAATTTCTCCACATCCTCCCCAACACTTGTTATTGTTTCTCTTTTATTATAGCCATCCTATTAGGTGTCTAGCCAATGAGAACTGTGGGAACGTCTGTCAGAGGACTTTGGGGAAAGATTTTCCTCCTTAACAAAGAGATATATGGAACAAAGACATCACAAGAAAAGAAAACTGCAGACAAATATCCCTTATGAATAAAGATGCAAAGATTCTCAACAAAATAGCAAACTGAATCCAGCAACACAAAAAAAGACTATACACCATGACCAGAAATGCAAGGATGATTTAATATCCAAAAATCAATCCATAAAATACATAACATCAATAGAATAAGGAAAAACCAAACGATCATCTCAACAGACACAGAAAAAGCATTTGACAAAATCTAACACCCTTTCATAATAAAAATGTTCAACAAACTAGGAATAAAAAAGAATTTCCTCAGCCTGATAAAGAACATCTATTAAAAAACCAACAGCTAATATAATATTTAATGATTAATGATTGAGGCCAGGTATGGTGGCTCTCGCCTGTAATCCCAGCACTTTGGGAGGCTGAGGCAGGTGGACTGCTTGATCTCAGGAGTTTGAGACTAGCCTGGGAAACATGGTGAAACCACATCTCTAAAAAACATATAAAAATTAGCCAGGTGTGGTGGTGTGTACCTGCAGTCCCAGCTACTTGGGAGGCTGAGGTGGGAGGGTCATTTAAGTCCAGGAGGCAGAGACTGCAGTGAGCCAATATTGCACCATTGCACTCCAGCCTGGGTGACAGAGTGAGAACCTGTGTCAAAAATAAATAAATAAATAAATAAGTAAATAAAAAAGATTGAATGCTTTGTTCCTAACATCAGGAACTAGACAAGAATGCCCATTATTACTATTTCTATTCAGCATTGTACTGGAGGCTCTGGCCAATGCAATAAGGTAATAAAAGAAGCTAAAAGGCATCCAGATTTAAAAGGGAGAGGTAAAACCATTTCTATATGCATATGACATGATCTTGCATATAGACGATACTAAGGAATACACAAAAAACTATTAGAGCTAATAAACAAGCTCAGCAAAGTTGTAAGATACAATATAAATATACAAAAATATTTGTATACCTATATACCAGCAATGAATAATCTGAACATGAAATTAAAAACCAAATCTCTTTATAATACTATTGAAAATAATAAAATAATTAGATATAAATTTAACAAAAGAAATGCAAGACTTGTACACTGAAAACTACAAAACATTGCTGGAAAACATGAAAATGTATAAATAAATGTAGACATATACTATGTTCATGGATTAGAAGACCTAATATTTTTTAAATGACAACACTCTTCAAACTGATCTAAACATTCAATAAAATCTTTATCAAAATCCGAATGGCATTTTTAGCAGAAATGGAAAAACAAATTCTAAAATGGCAGTAGCTTCTTGTTCAGGGCTCCTTGTTAGTGAGATAATCTTCCTGTCTTCACTGATCCTCCTGACCTTCACCTGATGCTGTCCTATGTGGGAAAATGGAACACTGGAAAGCCAACACATTTTTTTTTCTTTGTCTCTGGACTTCACTATCCTAGTAAGTGAACAAAGTCTTGACTATTAATTTCATTTGGCTTATTGTCCTAACTGACCATCTCAACACCTGTCATCTTGACAATCTTAAATTATTAAATATAACAATCAAAAGACAGATTGGCAGGGTATATATGTTGTTTATGATAAACTCATTTCAAATTCAACAATTTAGGTGGCTGAAAGTAAGCGATATAATAAGATATATTATGCAAATTTTAGTTTAAAAAATAGAAGTGGCTAAATGAATATCAGATACAGTGGACTTCAGAACCATGAAATTTACTAGAGTCAAAGAGGGATATTACATAAGAATAAAAGGATCAATCCACTAGGAAGACAAAACAATATTAAATGTGCAGGCACCAAGCAACAGAGACTTAAATATGTAAAGCCAAAGCTAATAAAACTGAAAGGAGAAATAGACAAGTCCACAATTACAGTCAGGGGCATAAACAACCCAATCTCAACAATCAATTGAACTACTAGGTAGAAAATCAGTGAGGATTTAGAGGATCTGAACAACACCATTAAACAACGGTATCTAATAGGCATGTATAAAATACTCCAACCAACAACACAGAATATAATTAGTTTCAAGAACCCAAGAAGTATATACCAACATAGACATATCCTGGACCATGAAAGAAACCTCAGCAAATTTAAAAGAATTATAATTATAGAGTATGTTCTCTGACAAAAATGGAATAAGCCTACAAATCAATAGCATAAAGGCAGAAAATCTCTAAACATGTGGAAAGTAAACAACATACTTCTAAATAATCTATGGCTCAAAGAAGAAGTTTAAAGGGAAATTTAAAAACTACATAAAACCAAATAAAAGTAAAAATACAAGATATCAAAATATGTGGGATGCAGCAAAAGTAATGCTGAGAGGAAAATTTATAGCACTAAATGCTTAACTAGAAAAGATGAAAGGTCTCAAATTAGCAATTTAAGTTAGTACCTCTAGAAACTAGAAAAACAAGAGCAACATAAATTCAAAACTAGCATAAGGAAAGAAACAGTAAAATTCAGGGCAGATATAAATAAAATCAAAAACAGAAAAACTAGAAAAACTGCAAAAAAGCTGATTTATTAAAAAATAAATAAAATTGATAAGCCTCTAGCAAGATGGAAAACAAAAAGAAGATACAAATCACTAGTACCACAAAGAAACAGGGAATGCCAATATAGATCTTGTAGCCTTTAAAAAGATAATAAGGAAATACTGTAAATACATTGATGCTCATAAATTTGATAACTTAGAAGAAATGAAACAATTCCTAAAAAATAAAAAAAAACTTCCAAAACCCAACCAGGATGAAACAGATAGTTTGGTCAGTCCTAAAATCATTAAAATGGCCAGGCACGGTGGTTCATGCCTGTAATCCCAGCACTTTGGGAGGCTGAGGCTGGTGGATCACCTGAGGTCAGGAGTTTGAGACCAGCCTGGCCAACCTGGTGAAACCCTGTCTCTACTAAAAATTCAAAAATTAGCTGGGCATGGTGGCAGATGCCTGTAATCCCACTACTCAGGAGGCTGAGGTAGGAGAATCACTTGAACCTGGGAGGTGGAGGTTGGGAGCCAAGATCGTGCCATTACACTCCAGCCTGGGTGACAAAGCGAGACTCTGTCTCAAAAAAAAAAAAAATTCATTAAAATAACTGAATTCATAATTAAAATGCTCCAAGCTGGATAATTCTACCAAACATTTGAAAAACACAACACCAATTTTACACAATCTCCTCCAAAAAATAGAAGCAGAGGAAACACTTCTCAATTCATTTCATGAGGCCAATATTATGAGACGAAATAAAAAGAAAGAAAATTACAGACCAGTATCTCTTATTAATTCTGATGCAAAAATCCTTGACAAAATATAAGCAAGCCAAATCCAACAATGCATAAAAATAATTATTCACCATTATCAAGTTAGATTTATTACAGCTATGGTAGTTCAACATTCAAAAATCAATCAATCCACCATATCAACAAGCCAAGGAAAGAAAAGCATATAATCATATGAATTGATGCAAAAAGAAAGCATTTGACAAAATCCAAAACTCATTAAGTCTCCCAGCAAGTCATAAATAGTGCAAAATTATTTCAACTTGATAAAGAACATGTAAAACAATTATACAAAACAAAAAAATCCACAGCTAATATACGTAATGGTGAAAGACTGCTTTCCTCTTATGATGCTTTCCTAATGGCGCTTTCCTCCTAAGACGGAAACAAGGATGTTCTGCCTCACCGCTGTTATTCTACACGATACTGGAAGGTCTAGCCCCTGCAACAAGGGAAGAAAAAGAAATAAAATGCCCCACGTCACAAAGGAAGACAGAAAACTGTACTATTTATAGGTAACCTGTTTGACTATGTAGAAAATCTAGAGGAATTTAAAATGCAACAAACAAACTCCAACTAAAAAGTGAGTTTACAAGGTCATAAGACACTAGATAAACACACAAACATCAGTGACATTTCTATACACTAGCAGTGAATCTATGGAACAAAACTTTAAACCACAATACCACTTATAATCTCTCCAAAGAAAATGAAATATTTAGCAAAACATGCATAGCATATGTATGCTGAAAATTATAAAATACCAGATAAAAGAAATAAAAGATATAAATAAGTAAATGAAAATACATACTGTGTTTACAGATTGGAAGTCTCAACATAGTAAAGATATCAGTTTTCCCCAAATTTATCTGTAGGTTCAATGTTCATATCAAAATCCCAGCAAGATTTTTTGTAGATATAGATAAGTTTATTTTCCAATTTATAAGGACAGGTATAGTCTCTAGAATAGCTAAAATAACCTCAACAAAGAGGAATAAAGTGGAAGGAATCAATCTACTCAATATTAAGGTTTACTTTATAGCTACAATAATCAATACAGCTTGGTAGTTTCTTATAAAACTAAACATGCAACTACGATATGATCTAGCAACTGCACTCTTGAGCATTTCAGAGAATTGAAAACATGTTCACTCGAAAATCTGTACACCTATGTTCACGGTAGCTTTATTCATAGGAACTAATAACTAGAAACAACCCAGAAGTCTTTCAGTGGGTGAATAGTTCAGCAAGCTGCAGTATATATATGTCATTAAACACTCCTTAGCAATAAAAAGCAATGAACTGTTGGTATGTGCAACAACTTGGATGAATCTGCAAGGAATTATGCTGCGTGAACAAAAGCCAACTGCAAAAGGTTACATACTGTAGGATTCCATTAATATTTACTCCACAAATATTTATTTTTGCAATAATAAAAATTTTAAAATGGAGATCAGATTAGTTAGTGGTTGTCAGCGCTTAAGGATGGGTAGGGAGTGGCTGAAGGAAGAAAACGGGATGCTTATGAAAGGATAAAGTCTTTGATATCTTTGTGATGATGAAGGTATCTATCGTGATTACAGTGGTGAATACACACACCTATGCCTGTGATAAAATTTGCATAGAACTAAATACACACCACACACACACGAGTACACGTAAAAGTGGGAAAATCTGAATAAGATGGGTGGATTCTATCAATGAAAATATCCTGGTCATGATATTATACTACAGTTTTGCAAAACGTTATCATTGGGGGAAACTAGGTAAAGGGCATATATGGGATGTGTCTGTATTATTTCTTGGAGTCTGTAATTATTTCAATAAATATTTTAATTAAAAAAAGAAGCAAAATACATCTGCCTACTTTCTGATCCAGTAAATCTGCTTCTAGAAATATATTGAATGGAAATATTTGCATGAGACAGGGCAATGGAGGTGGGGGGAAGGGTTAGATTCCAATCAGTGTTGAAGCTGGAGCCACCAGGACTTGCCAAGGAATTGAGAGTATCCCCGTGTCTCTGACCCAGTCTCCTCACGGTTTCCCGGCTTCACTCTGCCACATCTAATCCATTTGCCATCGTGTAGCTGAGATGATCTTCTACAAATTCACCCTGACCATGCACCTCCCTGTAGAGCCTTCTATGGTCCCCCACTGCCCTCAAAAGCCAGCATTCTTTTCCCTGGCATAGGAGATACTTTGATCTGGCCTCTCTGACTCATGCTCAGTCCTGTCCTGCAGCTCCCCTGACTCATTGCATTCCCTCTTGACACGAAGCCTGTGCAGATGCTGTTCCCTCAGCCTGGAAGACCTCAGTCTGGGTGACTCATGCTCACGCTTTAAGTCCCTGGTCAGACAGCACTTCTTCCGGGAAGCCAGCCTGACCTTCTCAGCAGGGTTCTAAGACCCATATTTCCTGCCTAATCACAGCCTTTTGCAAAAGTGGGTGGTAGTTGTCTCCTCACTGGCTAGGCACACAGTAGGGGCTCAGAGTGTGATTCCTCCAAGTAGAGGGGCTCCCTGTTGCCTCAGGACTAAGTCCAGATTCTGCACCATGTTCAGGAGATCCTGTAGCGTCTGGCCTCTCCTGACCTCCCAGCCCTGGATCTAGCCCCCATCTCTCCACAACTTTCTTTATTCAGCCTGTTGGCTTTTAATAGTTCTTCTAACTCTCCTCATGGTCTTCTCTCAAGGCCTTTGTTGATGCTGTCTTCTCTGCCCAGACATGCCTCCTTCTTCCCATTTTCACCTGGGTACCTCCAACTCATCCTTCCCACTTCAGTTAAAACATCACCTCCTCCAGGAGGTTTCCCTGACTGCTGGGGCCAGGTGAAGGCCTCTGTTATGACCTTTCCCATGGTACTCTGTGCCTCCTCCCTTCCAATGCACATCGTACTTTCATTTATTATTTTTTGCCTGTAATTACACCGGAATGTGAACCCCATGAGGGCAGAGCAATTTATGTCTTGCTCACTGCTGAATAGTGCCTGGCACCTAGTAGGAGCTCAGGACATGTTTGTTGAATAAATGATTAATATCCCTCCTGAGAGACAAATGCAGGCATGTGGCTTGCCCAGTTGACCAGGGGCCTTTGTGAAGGGAACAGCAATTCTGGGCACCAACTGCATGACAGGTACTCTCGAGACCCCACTTATTCCTCACCATAGCCCCTTGTGATAAGTTTATCATCCTTATTCTACAGATGGGTAAACTGAGCTCCAAGAGGTGAAATAACATCTGTAGAATCACTGCTGGTAAGTGGGGAGTCAGGATTTGAACCCAACTCTCTGGCCTTTGAAATTGGTTTCTTACTACAAAAAAGCACTGCCTCTTGGTGGTAAGAAACCAACTGGTTTTTCCAGATGACCCTGGGAGCTAAGAAAACCAATGCTTCTTGCATGCCCGTTCTGCGCCAGACACTGACATGCTCATCTTGCTCAGGCTCACCACAGCGCTGTGCGGTGGGAATTAGAGGAGGAGCCTGAAGCCCTGAGAAGCAAAGCCACTTACCGAGATCACATAGCTGAGAAGAGCTGAGCCAGGATTTACCCCAGGGTGTTCTGACTCCAAGGCTGGTGGGCTCAGGCAGGGTGGCTACACATTGGTGCCACCTCCCACTTCCTGGACATACCAGAATGATGACAAGAGGCACTGGAAGCTCCCACCTAGGCCTGCAGGGTTACTACAGAAAAAGACAAAGATCCTTTGAGTCATCTGGGTGAGAAAAGGCAGGGAATGACAGGCACAGTGTGGTGTGCTAGTGATGGCCTGTGCACAGATGGGGCTTTGCCAGTCCCTTTGCAGGGTGGAGATAACTGAACCTGGAGAGAGTATGGATTTGAAACCCTGTCCCCAGCTTGCACAGGGCTGCAAATCACAGGGTTATACGTGTTTCCTGCCTTCCTGGTGTGAAAGTGGCTGAAGAGATTGTGAGGCCAGCCTCAGTTTTCCCATCCCAGAAGGGGAAGATGCCCTTAGAAGTTGCCCCTGCCCTTCTGGAGACCCTCTTGAGACTGCAAGATTGGCCTCAAGGAAGAGGTCATCAGGTCTTTGCCAATTGGTCCCTGGGGCCCAGAGAGGGGCAGAAACTAGCCCAAAGTCACACAGGGATGCTTGGCTGACCCAGAATTGGGGCAGGCTTTGGAATCCCCACCCAGTGCTCTTTTTGCTGCCTCAGGCTGCACTTATGCTACCCCCTTCCACTTGGAAAGCCAAGGAGATGAACAAGAAGCCACTGAGTCTAGGGGTGATGGTGGAGGATGTGCTGGAGGCTGGGAAAGAGAGTAGTGAGGATGCTGCCAGGGAGCTGAGGAGCCAGGGAGGGGAGGGCTGTCTTAGTTATGTCAGGTTGGGGTCTGCCACGCACCTGTCATCTCAGTCTCATGCTCTCATCTTGAAGGAACAGCACCCAGATTTTCCTTTAGGGAGTCCCCTCCCAACTGCCCCTAAGTCCACTCCCCATCCCCAGCTTCAAGGCTCAGCCCATCAGTAAACTTCATCTCCCTGGCTACAGTGATTGGTTTAGGCAGCGTCATATGACTCCATTTGAGCAATGAGAGGCAGCTCTGGGATTGTTGCTGGAACCTCTGTGAAAGCAGAGGAAGCTGGAAAGGATGTAATACAGTAGCTGCTGATGATCATCTTGCCACCATAGGGGTAAGTCATCTGGCAAAGAGGTCAAGATAATGCTAGCAGGGTTGAGAGCCTGAGGCAAGGACAGATCCCTGAGGACACTGTCTGGACGTCTGACAATGGGTCATCCTGGCTGCCCTCTTTCCTAGCCTGCAGCACATCCTCCACCATCAGCCCTACATCCTGTTACTCAGGCACCCAACCATGCCGGAACAGCTATGGAATTTCCAGTTTTGTGAACCAATATACTCTCCCTTTGGTTAAGGCAGTTTGAGTTGTGTTTCCATCATTTGCAATTAAAAGATTCCTGCTACAAAGCCCTCATGGATCTGCATTTTTTCTCCCAGGTCTCTTCTACCACTAGAGAGTTGTGGACTCTTGGCAAAGGAGTTAATAACACTACTCACAATTCATGTCTTCATTCAATAAATATTATTCTTTACTTCATATGTTCCACGCTCTGGTTGTTTTGTGGGGAGCAAAAGAGAAGTTCCCATTTCTGTTTATGTTAGAAACAAAACAAGACAAAAAACAAATTAACAAGCAAATACATACTGATTATAAAATAATGTGATGTGAAGAAAAAAACTGCTAAGAAAGAATAATGAGGTAGGAGGGGGCTACTTGAGATCAGGTGGTCACGCTGAGAGTTGAGAGTGGAAAGGAGCAGCTGGGAAGGTGTCTGGGAGAAGGCTGTTCTAGGAGGCAGAAACAACATGAACCAGAAGCTTGAGGAAAGACTGTTCACTAGAGGAACAGAAGGAAAACCAGGGAGGCTGGACAAGAACAGGGATGGGAAGCTGACTAGAGTGTAGAGAGAAAACTAGGAAGACCTCATAGGGCCTTGTGGGTTTGAGTGTAATTCAACCAAAGAAGCCACTGTTCTTGCCTCCTCTCTCATAGAAAGAGAACTCCTGATTTACTTATTTTTATTATTTTTTTAAACGGTTAACTTTTATTTTAGATACAGGGGCTACATGTACAGATTTGTTACATGGGTATATGGCATGATGCTGAGGTTTGGGGTATGGTTCCCATCATCTGGGTAGTAAGCATATAGTTTTTTCACCCACGCCCCTTCCTTATTTCTCTCCACCAGTAGTCCGCTGTGTCTACTGGAGTGTCTGTTGTTGCCATGTTTATGTTCATGTGTGTTGTTCCCATGTTTATGTCTGTGTGTGTTGTTCCCAATGTTTAACTCCCACTTATAAGTGAGAACATGTGGTATCTGGTTTTCTGTTCTTGCATTAATTTGCTTAGGATTATGGCCTCCAGATGCATGCATATTGCTGCAAAGGACACGATTTCATCCTATTTTATGGCTGCATAGTATTCCATGGTGTATATGTATCAAGTTTTCTTTATATAATCCACTACTGATGGCACCTAGGTTGATTCCATGTCTTTGTTACTGTGAATAGTGTGGAAATAAAGATATGAGTGCATGTGTCCTTTTGATAGAATGATTTATTTTCCTTCAGGTATATACCCAGTAATGGGATTGCTGGGTTAAATGGTAGCTCCGTTTGTAGTTCTTTGAGAAATCTCCAAACTGCTTTCCACAGTGGCTGAACTAATTTACATTTCCACAAATGTAACAGAAAGGCCCAAAATTAACAGTAGATAAGACTTTATTTCTCTCAGGGAGAAAAAAAAGTCAACGTATAAAGCAACTCTTTATAAGGGTTCTCTTTTCTTTGCAGCCTCGCCGGCATCTGTTGTTTCTGACTTTTAATAATAGCAATTCTGACTGGTGTGAGACGGTATCTCACTGTGGTTTTGGTTTGCATTTCTCTGATGATTGGTGATGATGAATATTTTTTTCAAGTGTTTGTTGGCCACTTGTATTATCTTCTTTTGAGAAGTGTCTGCTCATGTTCTTTGTCCATTTTTTAATGGGGTTATTGTTTTTCTCTCATTTATTTGTTTGAGATCCTTATGGATTCTGGGTATTAGACCTTTGTTGGATGCAGAGTTTATGAGTATTTTCTCCCATTCTGTAGATTATCTGTTCATTCTGTTGAGAATTTCCTTTGCTGTGCAGGAGCTCTGTGGTTTAATTAGGTCCCATTTTTCAATTTTTGTTTTTGTTGCAATTGCTTTTGGGGACTCAGCCAAAACTTTTTTGTGAAGGCCAATGTCAAGAAGGGTACTTCCTAGGTTTTCTTCCAGGATTATTATAGTTTGAAGTCTTACATTTAAACCTTTAATCCATCTTGAGTTAATTATTGTATATGGTGAAAGGTAATGGTCCAGTTTTATTCTTCTGCATATAGCTAGCCAGTTATCCATCCCAGTACAATTTATTGAATAGTGAGTCCTTTCCCCATTGCTTGTTTTCGCCTTGTCAAAGATCAGATGGTTTATAGGGTGTGGCTTTATCTCTGGGTTTTCTATTCTGAGAACCCCTGATTTATATTTAGGCACAGAGGACCTCTGATTATGGATACCATTTCCCAGACTCTCTTGCAGCTAGGTGTGCCATATGAGTAGATACTGGTCACTGGAATGTGAACAAGTGTGAAATGAGTAACATCAGGGTCCTTCCTGTAAAGAGCAGAGAAATACCCACTTTGTCCTCTTTTCTCCCTAGAATAGCTGGCATGCAGGGATGAGCCAGAGCCATCTCAGACTGTGGCAGGAGGGCAACACCTTAGGAATGGCTGAGCAACAAGCCAGACAGAGCCTGAGCTCCCAACAGTTTCATGGAAGAGATGCTTCATAGGTTGACTTTTTTTCTCCCTGAGAGAAATAAAGTCTTATCTACTGTTAATTTTGGGCCTTTCTGTTAATGCAGCTGAAATTATATAGAGATGTTTAAAACTATGGGTTAGGATGAGACCACCCAGGACAGTAGTCCTCAAACTGTGTTTTCGGGAGCTCTGAGAACTCTGAGTGTCATTGAGATGCTATCAGGGGTCTGTGAGGTCAAAACTCTTTTCCTAATAATGCTAAGATGTGTGTACCTTTTACACTCTCATTCTCTCACCAGTGTATGGTGCAGCTTTCCAGGAGCTATGTGCATGGGATAGTGCAACACGGTGTATGCAGATGTGTATGCAGAAGTAGTATGAAAATCCAGCTGTCTTTTTTTAAAGCCAGACAATGCAGGGATTCACAAAAATGTAAAACAATGTACTCTTCTTACGAAATGCCTTTTGTTTGGAAATATGGTCAGTTTTGAAAACAGATTATATTTATGTTAACATGTAATGCATTCACAATTTTAAAATTAATATTTTTAACTTTTCTCCATTTTACTAACATAAATATTAATAGATACAAACCCACTTAAAAAGCTCTTTCAGATCTTCAAGAATGTTTAAGCATACAAAGAAGCCCCGAGACCACAAGGGTGAGAACTACCATCCTCCCCGCTCTCCGGATGCTCCCACAGCCTGGGCTCCCCAGTGCAGGTAGGGACTCCCCAGAGCATGAGACCACCCCTGCCTCTCTTGGCCCCATGACCCCCCTCTTACCTAACTGTTCCTTCACCCCCAGAGCCAGCACCAAGCAGGAGATGCAGTACAGTGTGCCCAGGACCATGGCAGCCATCACATATGCCCTCCACTGGGGAACAAGAAGTGCGTTAGGCTGATGTACTCCACTCCACCTCCATACGTGTTTGTGCAGTGACACCAGCCTGGAGGGCCTTCTATCGCCATCTCCCTCCTCTGTAAATCCTACCCACTCTTTGAGTCTTGGCCCAAGGGCTGCTGTCTCTCTCTCTCTCAAATGATTTCTGTGTTCTCATTTGTCTCTGCCTTCTCTGGGAATCTTTGGTGCCACAGGGTAATCTCCTGTGTGTCACTCCTGACTTCCTAATTCATCTGCCATCTCCTTCCTTGAAAGCGGAAATAGTGACTTCTTCTGCTTCCCTACATTGCCTAATAACAATAACAACTACCATAATAATACTTGCTAACAATTATTAAACAGTCACCATTATAATATTAGCTCATTTACTCCTTGCAACAGCTCTCTAAGGTGGGCTCTATGATATTAGCCTCATTTTACAGATGAGAGGACTGAGGCTCAGAAAGGTTAAAGAACTGCCCAAGCCACACAGTTCAGAAATGGAGGCCAGCATATAAGCCAGTTCAACTCTGATTGGCGACTGCTAGAAATCAATGGAGTGATATGCACTTAGCACTGTGCCGGGGGGATAGAAAGTGCTCTACTACCCAGTAAGCATTTATTGAGCACCTACTATGTGTCAGGCACTGCTAGGTGCTGTGGGTTCAGCTGTGAGCCAAGCAAAGTCCCTTCTCTCCTCGTGCTTGTAGGCTGTTCCTGCCTAAGCCTTCCCTCTGCTGTTCCCTCAGCTTGAAATGTTTTCCCCAGGTTCCCACATGGCTTGCTCCATCACCTCCTTTAGGTCTCTGCTCAAATATCACCTTATCAGTGAGGCTTCCTCTGACCTCACCACCTAAAATCTCAACTTGCTCTGCCCTTCCCTGCAGCACATCCTGCCCGATGCCTGCATGTGCTATGGGCCTCACTCACTCATGGGTAATATCTGTTTCCCCTGCAGGACGTCAGCTCTGTGAGGGTGGAAGATGTGTCTGTCTTTTCCCTGCTATAGCCTCTGGCACAGCATAGCACCTGGTATACAGTAGATGCTCAGAAACCATGTGCCAAATGGATGAATGAGCATGGTTGGTGGTGAAAATTGTTATGAGGAAGAATGAAGGTAGTCAAAGGGGATGGGGTCTGGGGGTCATCTTCCAGAGAGGGCGTAAGATTGGAGACCTGATTAGAGCGTGTGGTGGGGGGGAGTGGGGTCGGGGGGAATGTGTCATGTAAAGAACTGGGAGAAGTGTCTTCCAGGCAGAGGAAAAGCATGTGCAAAGGCCCTGTGGTGGGAGCATGCAAGGCATGTCTGAGAAACAGAAAAGAGGCTGGTGTAAGGGAGAAGGGTGGGAGGTGAGGGAGAAGGGCCGGGGGCCAGCTTGTCCAGGTCTTTCAGACCATGCTGAGGGATCTGACGTTTCCTGAGGGTGATGGGGAGCCATGGAGGAGTCTACAGACATTAGCTGTTATTACTATGTTTCAAGGGCCCACATGGGCCAGGCCCAGGTAGGCCGCCTTACACACACACACTCCCATTTGATCTGTGTGTCCATGCTGCAGGCTTTCCTGTCCCCTTTTCACAGACAGGGAAGCAGAAGCCAGCAGGCCCCTCTTTACTGTGTTCTCCAGAGAGTTGGTGAGCAGGAAGTTGCTGTTGCCATCAAGGGAGCCATTGTCCCATGAGCCATTGAACTCCACGGAGCCCTAGTTTATGCTGCTGTGGAAGTGGCTCCCCAGCTTTCCCTAGATGTGGGCTCCTACTAGCATGCTGACAGCTTCCATACCTATGCCTGCGGAGGCGACTTAGGAGACCAGCGGACTTACTTCCTGGTCCCAGGATGAAGTAAAGAAGCCAGCAGATGGTGCCAAAGGCAACCTCTATTTACCC
Source organism: Homo sapiens (assembly GCF_000001405.40). NCBI lineage: Eukaryota > Metazoa > Chordata > Mammalia > Primates > Hominidae > Homo > Homo sapiens. The sequence continues at coordinate 1,423,967 of NC_000020.11, forward strand.
TTGCTGCTCATTAGCATAAGACACTCCCACCAGTGCCGTGACAGTTTACAAATGCCATGGCAACGAGCTGCAAGTTACCACCCCTTTCCATGGCAACAACTCGGCATTTGTTCTTTTCTAGAGCATTCTGAATAACAAACCTCTTAATTTGCATGTAATTAAAAACTTTTGGGTCTGGTAAAGATCTTAAATGTTTTTAGCACACACACACACACAAATGTAAGTGGGTGAGGTGACAGATGTGTTAACTAACACGATTGTGGCACTCATTTCACAATGTATATGTATATCAAATCAGCATGTTGCACACCATAAATTTACACAATTTTGTCAATCATACCTCAAGAAAGCTGGGAAAACAGAATCATACCACAAATTCACTGTTTTAGAACATGCAATTAAGCAGTTTTAGTATATTTACAGAACTGTGCAACCATTATCACTACTAATTCTAGCATATTTTAATCATCCCAAAAAGAAACCCTGTACCCATTAGTAGTTACTCCCCAATCCTCTCTCCCTCTAGTGTGTGGCAACAAGTTGTAGCATGTATCACTACTTCATTTCTTTTTATGGCCAAATAACATTCCATTGTGTGGTTACACCACATTTTGCTTATCCATTTATCAACTGATGCACATTTGGATTGTTTCTACCTTTTGGCTATTGGGAACAGTGCTGCTGTGAACAGCCTGTGTACGTTTTTGTCTGAACACTTGTTTTCAATTCCTTGGTCATATACCTAGGAGTAGAATTGCTGGATCCTATGGTAACTCTGTTATCATAACTTTTTGAGGAACTGCCAAACTGTTTTCCAAAAGGGCTGCACCATTTTACATTCCCACTTTCAGTGCAGGAGGGTCCTAATTTCTCTACATTTTCACCAACACTTGTTGTCTATCTTTTTTATCATAGCTATCCTAATGAGCGCAAAGTGGTGTCTCCATGTGGTTTTCCTTTGCATTTAAAGATTACTAATGAATCAGTCTGGCGTGGTGGTGTGCGCCTGTAGTCCCAGCTACTTGGGAAGCTGAGGCACAAGAATCACTGGAACCTGGGAGGCGGAGGTTGCAGTGAGCTGAGATCTTGCCACTGCACTCCAGCCTGGGCAACAGAGCAAGACTCTGTCTAAAAAAAAAGAAAAGGAATTTAGTACTACTAATAAGCACATTTTCATGCTGATTTGTTTGTTTTAAAGATGCCAAAGATCTAGATGGGTTTTTATGTGTGAAATTTTCTGATTTTAAAATGTTGGTCCCAGATCATGGGGTGTTCAGAGCAGCAGGCTCCCATGCTGGAGGGCCACACCACCCCCTGGCCAGGCCTGCTCAGCATTGGCTTATGTTTGGCCCATGTTTGCCAACCACCTCCTTCAGTTCCCTGTTGTTCCCTCCATGTCAGTCACTTTGAATTTCTCCCATTCCTCACACATAGCAAGTTCTTTTCCACCCCAGGGCCTCTGCACTTGCTGTTCTTTCTGCCAAGCACACTTTCTCCCCAAATCTCTGCTTGGTTGGTTTTTCATGTTGCAGGTCTCAGCTCAAATGTCAACTCCTCAGGGTTGCGATCCCTGGCTACCCTAACATAGCCCCAAAATTTGCTGCTAGTAACTGTCCCATTTCTATTTCATTGTCTTCAGAGAACTATTGGCATCTGAAATTACCTTGCTGTGTATTTATTTACAGCTGTCCTTAGTTATACACAGAGGATTATTTCCAGGACCTCTTGTATATACACAAATTCACATGTACTCAAGTCCTTTAGTGTTTATTGGAGTCCACGGATACTATATTTCTTTCTTTCCTCTTTTTTTTTTTTTTAAGAGAGAGGGTCTTGCTTTGTTGCCCAGGCTAGAGTGCAGTGGCATGATCACAGCTCACTGCAGCCTTGAACTCCTGGATTCAAGCGATCCTCCCACCTCATCCATCCAAGTAGCTGGGATTACAGACATGAGCCACAGTGCCTGACTCAGATACTTTATTTTTTATTTACATTTGGTTGAAATAAATTTGCCTATAAGTGGAATCACATAGTTCAAACACGTGTTGTTTAAGGGTCAACTGTGTTCATTTACTATCTATCCCACTAAGATATAAACTGTAAGAGCAGAAATCATGTCTCTTATTCCCTGCTATAACTTCCGTACCCTGCACCTAGCAGGTGCTTAATACATGTTTGATGAATGAGTAAATAAGCTACAAATGAGGAAAATGAGGCTTTGAGATGTTAAGTCACTTGCCCAAGGTCCCACAGTTAATTAGTGGAAGAGCCACAACAGGAAAGGTTTTCTATGTGCAGATCCTGCAGCCCAGGAAGGAGAGACTTGCCTGAGTCTAATAGCAAGTCAGCAAGAAAACAAAGGCCGCCAAGGTCTTTCCATGGGCTGCTGAATGAGGTTGGCACTGGGTGCCTGTCAAGCTCCAGGGGCCTGTCTGCAGTCGGTCTCAGCTGAGGGAGACCCTCCACCTCCAGGGACTCAGTCAACAAGACCTGGCTCCTCTAGAAGCCTCCATAGATGAAGGGCCCCCTGGAAATCCCCAGAGAGATTTCTGGAGGCCAGAGGTAGGAGGACAATTCAGCATCCAGAGGAGAAAGGATTTTCTAACAGGCAGAGCAGCAGTGATGGAAGGACAGGTGGCAAACTCCCCATTGCCTGAGGGAGATAAGCGGAGATGAGTATCAGGAGGGGACCAGCTCCACTCAGCTCTGCCACATGTTACACTCAGGAAAGAGGCTGGGGGAGCACTGGCAAAACTCAGGAGAGGAAGAGGCACCAGTGCCCAGTCTAGTGCACGTGACATTTGACTGAATCAGTGGGACTGGTGGGAGCAATGATAATGCAGCTTTATTTTGACATCCCAGTGTCCACACACCCTGATGGGTGAACTGGAATCTTCACAGGCACTGAGATGGAATCTAGGGCAGGTCCCAGTGACTCTGGTAATTGAAAGTCTTCCTGTCACTTTTTCCCCTCAAAGAGCTTCAATTCATCTATTCATAAAAATAAATTTCTGCAATGATAAAAATGTACCAGAAGCAAGTCAAAAGACAAAAAACAGAATAGGAAAAAAAATTGTGATTCATATCTCAAAGTGTATGTCTCCCTGATTCTGAGACATTAGTTTCCTATACATAAGTGAACAGAGGATATAAATAGAGGTTCACAGAAAAGAGGATGCAATGGCTTCTGACTGCACGAAAAGATACTCAACATCCTTCATAATCAGGGAAATGTTAAGGCAAACTATGATGGGGTCAGATCTAGTTCTGGGCAAGATGGAGTAATAAGCATGTTCCACCCCACCTCTCCTGCTGAAGGCAGCTATAAAACCTGGACAGGATGCACAGGCCAGCTATGTGAGGACTCTGAAAAGTAAATGGTAGAAGGTAACTTGAAGAAGATCAGAAATCAAAGTACCATCCTGAGTTTACCTTTTTGCCCCCTTCTTGTTTCCTGGCTAGAACAAAATGTAGCCTGGAAGTGGGGACTGGGACCACACAGGAAAACTCCAGTAGAAGCCCTCTAGTGCTGGCTTAAGGACCAGGAATTTCTAATGCCACTCTCCTGCCCTGAGTTTCTTTCTTCTTCCTGCTCTCCTATGCCCCAGCCACCAGGGAGTCCCTGGCAGGAATGACAGAGGCCTCAAAGCATTGGGAACCTGCAGGAGCTGAAACTCAGAGGGAGGAGAATGTTCTTCATGCATCAGCAGAGTTGTGATCCCAAAAGGAAGGGAGCAAACCCCTGTTGCTTTTTCTTCTTTGTGCTCCCACCACCTGGCCCTGCCATGAAGAGTGCAGCACAGCGGGATGCTGCAGCTTTAGCTTTCTGGCTGGGAGCGTGAAAAGGGAGCCCCAGGAAACAGGAAAGTACCAGGGAGATTGTAAAAAGGGAGGAGCTTGTGAAAGCAACCCCATTACATTGTTTACGAACTCCTTGAGGCACTCTCCAATTGCACATGTGTGGATCTGATTGTAATCACCATATAAAGGCTCTGAGAAATGTGCTAACAGGCCACATGCTCAGGTCCCAGACTCCCTGCTGGGTAGTGCACACAGGGTACCAGACAGTCAGCAAAGGCTTTGCAGACTGAGCTGACATTGGAACCACCACACACAGAAGGTTGGGACTTGAGGCCTGAACCTGACCAGGTTGACTGCCAGCCAAAACACAAGATATAAATGTTTCCCATAGAACTTAAATAAGACCCAGAGCCTCAAAATATAATACAGAAAACGTTCAGGTTACAATCCCAAACTACTCAGCTTGTGAAGATCCAGGAAAATGTCAACTCTCCTGGGAGAAGACATCAACAGATGCCCACTCCTAGATGACACAGATGTTGGGGTTATCTGATACCTTTTGAAGAAATTACTACAAAAATACTCAAATGAGTAAGGGTAGATATTCTCTTTTTCTTGAGATAAAATTCAAGTAACAGGCCGGGCGCGGTGGCTCACGCCTGTTATCCCAGCACTTTGGGAGGCCGAGGCGGGTGGATCATGAGGTCAGGAGTTCAAGACCAGCCTGGCCAAGATAGTGAAACCCCGTCTCTACTAAAAATACAAAAAATTAGCCGGGCGCAGTGGCAGGTGCCTGTAATCCCAGCTACTTGGGAGGCTGAGGCAGGAGAATCGCTTGAACTTGGAGGGTGGAGGTTGCAGTGAGCCAAGATCGCACCACTGCACTCTAGCCTGGGTGACAGAGTGAGACTCCGTCACACACACACAAAAAAATCAAGTAACATAAAATTAATCATTTTAACAGGGCGTTTAGTATGTTCAATGTTGTGTAACCAGTACCTCTATCTAGTTCTAAATATTTTCGTCAACCCAAAATAAAGCCTAGTATCCATTAAGCAGTACTTCCCATTGTCCCTTCCACACAGCACCCAGCAACCATCAATCAGCTTTCTCTCTCTATGGATTTACCTATTCTGGATATTTTATATAACATGTAGCTGTCATAGTATGTGACTCTTGTGTCTGAGTTTTCACTTAGCATAATGGTTTTGAGGTTACCTAGAGTTAGCCAAACTGCAGGTAACCTCAAAAACATTGTGCTAAGGTAGGGTCTTCCAGACCACCAAATTTGACTCCCAAGACTCTGACACAAATTTCAAGTTCAAGGGGTTCCTAAAACCACCCTCAGGTTGTATAATTCACCAGAAAGACTCGCTGAAACCTATTATATGTACGTCTATGTTTATTACAACAAAAATATACAAATTAGAACCAGCCAGAGGAAGAGATGCATAGGATGGAGTTGGGAGGGGTCTAAATGGGGAGTGTCCGGTGTCCTCTCCCCAGGGTCATGGACAGTTACTTCCTCGTGACCATGATGTGTGATAACATGCACAGAGTATTGCCAACCAGGGAAGCTCACCTGAACTTTGGTATCTAGAGTTTTTAATGAGGCTTCACTACATGGGCATGATTGATTAAACTCAATCTTCAGCCCACTCCACCCCAACCCTGGAGGTTGGGTTGAAAGCTCTCACAGTAAATTCTATGTTTGGTTTTTCTGGTGTGGCCAGCCCCTCCACCCTAAGACTATCAGGTGTGAGTGGCGTTATGAATAATCTCATCAACATAAACTATCAGGTGTGGTCCCAGTGACTCAACAGGAATAAAGAGGACACTCCTGTCATGTTGGAAATTCTAGACATTTCTTTGAGTGAGGCCAAATTCCTTACAACATGGAAGTTTATCCATTATAGCATTTATCAATACTTCATTACTTTTTTGTTTCTGAATAATCCATTTTATGTGTACACGATTTGTTTATTCACTTGTTTATTGCTGGACATTTGGGTTGTTTCCACCTTTGGGGTATTTTGAATAATGCTGCTATTAAACATGGATGTACAAGTATCTGAGTACCTGTTTTCAATTCTTTTGAATATATATCTGGGATGTTTAACTTTATGCATTAATTTGACTGGATTATGGGATACCCAGATCTATGGTAAAACGTTATTTCAGAGTGTGTCTGTGAGGGTGTTTTC